>NC_000015.10:94017035-94168550 GCF_000001405.40 Homo sapiens
AACATCTGAAAAATTGATACCTATATGGCATTTCTTAGAATATACTTATTGATGTGTTCCACTAAAGTAAAGGAATAAAACTATAAAGAGAAAGATGTGGGACCAAGTGAATAATGATTCTATCACAGAATAGGTAAAGACATCTTCTGGCTGGGAGTGGTGGCTCATACCTGTAATCCCAGCACTTTGGGAGGCTGAGGAGGGTGGATCACGAGGTCAGGAGACGGAGACCATCCTGACCAACATGGTGAAACACCGTATCTACTAAAAATACAAAACTTAACTGGGCGTGGTGGCATGAGCTTGTAGTCCTAGCTACTCGGGAGGCTGAGGCAGGAGAATCACTTGAACCCAGGAGGTGGAGGTTGCCGTGAGCTGAGGTCATGCCACTGCACTCCAGCCTGGCAACAGAGTGAGACTCCATCTCAATAATAATAATAATAATTTAAATAACTTCATGTGCCTATTGACCACCACACTGGAAAATGTGCTCTAGATGATGGTAAAGGAAACTATCAAAATGATGGGAGAGGGAGGTTTCATGAATTACAAGGTACACAGCTATAGCTGATCATGTAGTCCCCCATCTCACATCCTTTTTTGCAATGCGGCTTTCCTATGACTCTGGGAAGAGGTGGGGCTTATTCCTTCTTCTCTTAGGTCTGGACTAGCTTTGTGACTGTTGTGAACAATAGAATTGAGTAGAAATTACATTCTGGGACTTTTGAGGTCCAAACATTGAGAAATCTGGTACCTTTGGCTTTTGAATACTGGAGAAAGCCAAACAGTTTAATAACCCTGAGATGGCTATTCTATGAGGAGGCCCAAGCTCACCACATGGAGCCACCTGAGGCCTGATGAGATGGAGGGAGTCTTGAGGTCTTGATACCCTAGTCAGAATTGCTCAGCTGAGCAACCTATGGAACCGTGAGAGATGATAGAATGGATGTTGTATAAAGCCGCTGAGTTTAGTGTTGTTCGTTACCCAGCCAGCCCAGATTGGAGCTGGAGGAGAGAGGGTTCTGGGAGTAACATGTATAAGATGGGCCTCATAGATTACCTGGTGTGTCTGACTTCCTGAGGATGTGTTGTACCTTGTCTATCAGAGTTTTTGTGGAAGAAGAATTGCTAACAACCACGTAACAAGCCAAGCAAACAAAAAATAAAAATCTCAGCTGGGCGCAGTGGCTCATGCCTGTAATCCCAGCACTTTGGGAGGCCGAGGCAGGCGAATCACCTGAGATCGGGAGTTCATGACTTGCCTGACCAACATGGTGAAACCCCATCTCTACTAAACATACAAAATTAGCCGGGCATGGTGGAGCATGCCTGTAATCCCAGCTACTCGGGAGGCTGAGGCAGGAGAACTGCTTGAACCCGGGAGGCGGAGGTTGCGGTGAGCCGAGATGGCGCCACTGCACTCCAGCCTGGGCAACAAGAGCAAAACTCCATCTCAAAAATAAAATAAATAAATAAACAAAAATCTCCAGAAAACCAAAGTTTTGTGCAAGAAAATAAATATAATCCTAGCACACTGCAGAATTTAGTTCGTGAACATTAGGTAGCATGTACAATCATAATGCAAACAGAATTCTCCTATTGAGAGTCTGGAAATGATGGAAGAGAGGAAGAAGATGTATCTCTTCTTCCCCCCACTCTGGAGGTGGGGAGAATGTAAGAGCAATTAAATATTCATCGTCTTTAGTGGAAGACAATAGATAATCTCTCTAAATGAAAATATCAAACATGTTGGTTATATACCAGTAGAAAAATCGAAAGAATTGTATGTGTTTGCTACTGAGGAACATGAATTTGGGGTCTAGATGAGTGAAATAAATACTGCATGTTTTTCATACAGGATTATTTCACATATTGGAAGATAAATACATATTTTGAGATATTACTTTTTTTTTTTTGAGACAGAGTTTCGCTCTTATTGCCCAGGCTGGAGTGCAATGGCACAATCTCGGCTCACTGCAACCTCTGCCTCCTGGCTTCAAGTGATTCTCCAAGCGATTCTCCTGCCTCAGCTTCCCGGGTAGCTGGGATTACAGGCGCCCACTACCACGCCCGGCTAATTTTTGTATTTTCAGTAGAGACGGGGTTTCACTATGTTGGCCAGGCTGGTCTTGACCTCCAGACCTCAAGCAGTCTGCCCGCCTCAGCCTCCCAAAGTGCGGAGATTACAGGCGTGAGTCACTGGGCCTGGCCCGGGCCCGAGATACTAACTTTTAAAAAAGATCAAAGGAATTGAAGTAACTCCAGTTGTCAGAACCTGGTTAAAAGCCTCCCCTGGTTAGGCCATCCTAGCCAAGGATGAGAAAGTCTTCCCACAGGGAGACAGCCCACAGTCAGTAGTCTCGGCTTTAATTTTGCCATTTCTGCACCTCCTCTTGTGCACTTATACACATTTTAGTGGGGAAATAAGAGAGGGCAAGTCCGCAGGTGTTAGTTGGTAAACTTTACTGCCCTAAAACCCCAAACTCTTTTTTCATGCGGTCTCCTCTGACCCAGATCGTCTTCAAATATCGAACGCTGAATTGGGCCGGGCGCGGTGGCTCCCACCTGTCATCCCAGCACTTTGGGAGGCCGAGGCGGGCGGATTATGAGGTCAGGAGATCGAGACCATCCTGGCTAACACGGTGAAACCCCGTCTCTACTAAAAATACAAAAAAAAAAAATTAGCCGGGCGTGATGGCGGGCACCTGTAGTCCCAGCTACTCGGGAGGCTGAGGCAGGAGAATGGCGTGAACCCGGGAGGCGGAGCTGGCAGTGAGCCGAGATTGTGCCACTGCACTCCAGCCTGGGGGACAGTGAGACTCCGTCTCAAAAACAACAACAACAACAACAACAACAAAACACTGAATTAAGCTTCATAATTTACTTAGTTTTTAATTAATTTATTTATTTTTAGAGATGGAGCCTTGCTATGTTGCCCAGGCTGGAGAGCTATGGCTACTCACAGGCACAATTATGGTGCACTATGGCCTCAAACTGCTGGCCTCAAGTGATCCTCCTCCCTCAGCCTCCCTGAGCATCTGGACTACAGAGACACCACCACACTTGGCTTTTAACTTACATAGCTTCAATCACAAAGCCTAATAGGACCTGATTGTCATGAGCTTTTTGGAAAGAAGTTGAAATAGAGGATTGCGGAGGAGGGTATGATGTCTCACGGATTGCCCAGCAGATCCAAATTATGCTTCCCGGAGATGTGACTACTTTAGTATTTACCAAAGGGCATTGATACTCTGATTGGTCTTTTCATATGGGTGGAGAACTAGAACAGACTCCTCCAGGCTAGTTGTGTTTAAGCAGGAGTTGAAGGCAGCAGGGAAGTCCTCTTTGAAATAGGATTGCAATCTGAGGCTGGTAATTCAGGTCATTGGCACGGAGCAGGGAGAAGGAAGTCAGTATCTTTTGTGAAAAAGAAACAGCTGAAGTGGGGCTGCATAATAATGTCTCATCAAGAAGACCTTGGTTCAGGGTCCTTCACTATGATGAGCATGAAAACTGAAATTCTAATCTGGAATTGAAGAGGAATCCAACTATAAGAAGCTCTTTTTTTTTTTTTTTTTTTGAGATGGAGTTTCTCTCTTGTCTCCTGGGCTGGAGTGCAGTGGCGTGATCTCGGCTCACTGCAACCTCTGCCTCCCAGGTTCAAGCCATTCTCCTGCCTCAGCCTCCCAAGTAGCTGGGATTACAGGTGCACAGCACTACCACCCGGCTAATTTTTGTATTTTCAGTAGAGATGGGGTTTCACCATGCTGGCTAGGCTGGTCTCGAACTCCTGACCTCAGGTGATCCACCCACCTCAGCTCCCAAAGTGCTGGGATTACAGGCATGAGCCACTGCTCCTGGCCAATAAGCTCACTATTAATTCTTTCTTTTCTTCTCCATTAAATTGACTCCCATAGTCCTTCATATCCTTCCAGAAAGTCCTTTGATTTCTTTGACTCCCCGCCCCCCTATGATGGAGTAAGATGTCCCTCCTCTCCACCCCAACAGAGCTCTGTGCTTGTCCTTCTGCTAGCATTCACCCCACCCTCCACAGCTTCCTACTTGCTTGTCTCCATCTCCCACAAAATTTTTAAGTGCTCAGAGAGAACCGTTCATTGTTTCACCCTCAGGACCCAGCACAGAGAAATGTCTCAAATATATTTGTTAAACACAGGCAGTAAAATATGCACATGTATTTATATTCTTAGACAATGTATGCCCTTTATTGATGGATTCTCACGCTCTCAAGCCATTAGATATATCCATGTGGTTCCCAAATGTCATCATGCCTTTCCTAGCCTGGGATGCAAAATCCACAAGTCTGAGGCCGTTATGTTTTCTAAGACTCATCTAATTTTAAAATAAGCAATAAAACAAAACAATAGTCCTTATTTCCTTAAGCTAAGCCTTCTTACAATGGTATACTTTGCTTTTACTTGCAACCTCAACTATCTTAAAGAGGTGACCCAGAAAGACTACTCATGCTTCCCCCGGGGCTCTCTGAAAACTTCCTTTCTTAAAGCTATTTAGTGGGCATATGACCCAACCAAATGACCCTTTTTAATAGACATTCCCCCCACACCTGGCTTTTATTATGTCATAGGAGGTAAAGAGAAATCCCAAGACCCTTCCCCAAACCTAGAGAGCTGCTGGCCTTCAGAGCTGACCCCCTTCCTTCAGACTGTCCCTGCAGCGGTTCTGCAAAATCACACTCACAGCACACTGTGTATTGTGGGGTTGGCATAGATGTTTTGAAACTAGGCAGACCTTGTGCAGTGTTTAGTTTTTGGCAGAATTTATGTTTTTGGCTGGCTGCCACTGTGAAATGTGTTTAGTTTTAACTGACAGTCCTGGTCAACACTGCAGGTCATAGGTAAGTCTAGCTCATTCTGACTAGGTGAAGCCAGATCTGCTGCTTCCCAGTTTTCTTTTGGTTTTTTACTGTCTTGGTAAAGAAGAATTTCTAATAGACACATAGCAAAACATTTCTGTCCTTCTACCTGATCCTCTGTGATAAACTCTTCCTGCTCTGTGATGACATTCTTCTTCAGTGACCAGACATCCAGGGGTTGGGAGAAGCTACTCGGGAAGTTGCAAGAGTAGGGATTAGGCTGTACACTGGGAAGTAAGACTGTGGTGTGGTATGGAGCAGAAGGTTGCCGGGAGAAATCCTCAGGAGTGTAAAATGTGACATTTTCCTCCTTAAACCTGGGCTGGAGCAGTGTCAGGAGCAATCTGGCAGGATGCTGAAGAGCAGTGAGAGGAGGACGGGAGTACCGCCAACCTGACATGAGACCTTGATGTTGGGGCACCAGGGTCATTGAGACACAAGGAGTCTCTGTTTCATTTTTCTCCCCCCAGAGGGATTTGCACCCAACCATCTTGTGACTGCTTTTTTAATTCAGTTCAGTGAAAATGACCGTGCTTTTTCCTACTATCTCAACCAAAATTTGTATCCATGCCAGGCTGGGAAAGCATATACTTCCTGAATGAAAAGTGTGATCCAACCATTATGAGCCCCAGAGGGTCTTTGTGGGATTAGTCACTGAGTTGCAGTATGGCAGAGGTGTGGGGTCAATACCATTTCCACTGTGATATGACAATGACATTGAGGACTTGTCAAAGTCAAAGATCACCCACCGAGTTTGTAAATATGATTTAAAAGCTGAGAGAAATGATGACCATATGACAATTAGCAATAATCACTTGAGAATCTTCAGTATTCGGGATGCATTTATTTTCTTTTTAAAAAAGAAGGTAAATAATATCATGACATTATAAGTTCCATGAAGGAGGGAGTTTCATCTATGAATTTTTTATTGTTCACTGCTAAATGGTAGGTTTAGCCTGACACATAGTGGCTACACATACTCAAGAAATATACATCAAATGGATAAATGAATGAATGAATGAATGAAAAGTGTGTTTTTAGAGAGCACTTAAAATGAGAAAGTTTAACATTCACGGTGTGTCTAATAAAACCTGAATTGAATTGTAGCAAACATAATCCTGGCTGACATGAGAAATTTTACCAGATGCATATTATTTTATTTTGGGGGTTATGATTTACACATTAGTGTTGTATTAAAATGTAATATGAAGAAACATACAGAATTTAAATATGTTAATTCAAACTCAAATTATATGTATACACACATATACACAAGCATACATTACACATATATGTGATATATGAATTTTTTCCTTTTCATAATTAAGAAATGCCAAGCAATACTATTAAGAGACAATTTTGGATGTAAAATTCCCTAAAGCTATCCAATACAGAAGCAAAGGGTGAAACGGAGCTGCAGACTCAAATGGCTTGGCTCTGTATTTCAGGGGCAAATGAGGCTACATATTTAGAAGGAACTGTACCTGTATTAATTTTTTTCTCCATCCTGCTGGGCCTTTGTGGATTTTGCTCATGACTTCTGTTAACATGTGCTGGGCCAATAATGTTATAGATCATAGGACACATCCCCCATATTGTGGGGAATTTGCATCCCATGCTTTAATTACCCTTTGGTTTCTGAAGAGGTAAGGGCTGAATCCAGCAGTCCTTTCCTAACAGGCCTGTGGTTCAGGCCTGGCTTGGAAAGGGCCCCAGGGGCTGGCAGGCACTCCAGGCAAATTTTCCAGCAGCAGCACGGCCCCATTTGCCTCCTTCAACAGGTCTTCAGTTGGCTGTATTAGTTCATCGGCTTCAGACTTTGAATTGGCACAAATGCATTGTGTGGATGGGGCAGTCGCATTGACTGGCCTGGAACTAATTAAAAACTGGAATATTTTAGATCACTAGGAAGAGAGCATGGCCAGATTTGCAGGGATGGTGCAAGTGAACTGAAAGAGCAAATTAACCCAGCCCCTTGAGAAAGATTCCTGCTGCCCGACCTTAGGTAGCCTCAGCTGGGCTTGGGCATATCCCGGTGTGAGATGACCCCTGCAAACCTGACAGGTACTCAACCATCTCAGCTGCTTAGGAAACATTCTTTTTTTTTTTTTTTTCCTAAATATTCCTAGTGGCACCATGTTTTATGAAAAAGAGCAAGTTTGCCAAGCTTGTTAGCTTCAGGGAAAAGACATATCCAAGTGAGTGAAGGACTGTGAAGGGCATTTATAATGAGGGAAATTTACTGCCTGGTTGAGCGTCAGGGGCTGTGTTCTGAGGACTGGACTTCAGGCACACCCAGTGACCTCCCGCCACAGTGGGACACCATCCAGAGGACTTCCTTCTGACCTTTCCCCTCAGGCACGTCCTAAGGCACCTTGCTTGTCCTCTTTGTCACCACTTGCTATTTTGCATTCTGTCTGAACTATAAGAAACACACACTCACCTTGGCTAAGATGGAGTGTTGTCTTGCTGAGGACTTCACCATGGCTCGCCCGTAACTGCTGTCTCGCTCCAGGTTTGGGGAACACTTTAAGCTTGTTTTCAGCCTTAACAGTCTTAGCTCAGAGCCAAGAGTTGTGAATCCAAAAAATATCCATTGCTAGTTTTTGGTGTTTTGTTTTTATTTTTGTATTTTTTGATACCTACAATTTATTGGGCTGGTATGTATGTGCCCAGCACTGGGCTAAATTATGGAAGACACTAGTCCATTTAATCAACACAACAACAAAAAAGTAAAGAAATTAATATTGTTATTCAGCTTTTTATTTTAATTTTTAAAGTTGTGGTAAAGTAAACATAACATAATATTTACCATCTCAGCTATTCTTAGGTGTGCAGTTCAGTGGCATTAAGTACAATCACATGGTTGTACAAACATCACCTCCAACCATCTCCATAACTCTTTTTGTCTTGCAAACTTGATACCCATTAAACAACTTCCCACTCTTCCCTCCCACCAGATCATGACAACCACCATTCTACTTTCTATCTCTATGAATTTTCTTTTTCACTATTTTTTTTGACAGCGTTTCGCTCTGCCACCCAGGCTGGAGTGCAGTGGCACAATCTTGGCTCACTGCAACCTCCATCTCCCGGGTTTAAGAGATTCTCCTGCCTCAGCCTCCTGAGTAGCTGGGATTACAGATGTGCACCACCACGCCTGGCTAATTTTTGTATTTTTAGTAGAGACGGGGCTTCACCATATTGGCCAGGCTGGTCTCAAACTCCTGACCTCGTGATCCACCCGCCTCGGCCTCCCAAAGTGTTGGGATTACAGGCGTGAGCCACCGTGCTTGGCCGTCTCTATGAATTTGATTACACTAGATACCTCACGTAGAAGGGATCATCAAGTGTTAGTCCTTTTATAACTGGTTTATTTCACTTAGCATAATGTCCTCCAGGTTCATCAATGTTGTAGCATATGTCAGAATTTTCTTTTTTAAGGCAGAATAATATTTCATTGTATATATGCCATATTTTGTCTATCCAATCATTTCTCCATAGACATTTGGGTTGCTTCCCTCTTTAGGCTATTGTGAATAATGCTGCTGTGAACATCGGTGTGCAAATATCTCTTTGGGACCATTATTCTCTTTTATATGTCAGGGATCCGAGGTACAGAGAGGTGCTTACCACGGGTCATGCAGTAGTTAAGGGATAGAACTAGGATTTATATGCAAGGACCTGTCACTCCAGAATGTATTGTTTTCATTTCTGTCTTCTCCAACCTGTATAAAGGACAGATGTCCGTCCCACAGTGATAGGCTGTATATTATGAAACTGAAGCATGAGCTAAGTGAACACCAAGAAGTTTTACATGAATTAAATCTTCATCATCTTCCTAATGACTTTTCTAAACTTGATCTTTGATGCTAAATTATACCACATTATTCCAAAATGTCAGGATTAGATAAGTACAATAATAATTTTAATCATAAAAGAAATTCATTTTTTGGTGTTTCCAAATAACCAGTCATGATTTGGAGGTAACTCCTAGAACAGTGTAAGTCATTGTTCTGGCTTGATAAATGTATTGATTCTTACCAAAAATAATGAAAAGCTTCAGCCATTTCATTCTACTGTGGACTAACCCCAAACATTATGATGATAGTTACTTGGTACTAGCACTGCAATAGATCTTTTATACATTTTATTCTACCAAATCATATAAATGCTCCCATTTTACAGATGAGAAATCCAAAATTAAAAATAAAACATTATAGTTCAATCTGCCTGATCCCAGTATCCAGGTTCTTTCTGCTACCTTTTACATCCCGGGTACTGCTTGCCTTGCGTCATGCAGTTGAACATCAGTGAATCAGATGCAAACAAAATATTTGTACATAAGCTGCTGTGAATTATAGATATATGGCTTTTGGGAAGAACTGGAATGATCGCTGAACATGAACAATTTGTAAAAGTCTTTGAAGGACAGAGGCTTATGTAAATGGATTAGGGAATAGCCTTTTGACAAGGACAATACATATTTCATGTCTAGTAAAATGCTGTACCTGCCACCATATCCTGCAAGTCCTGGCAGCTGCTTCTAACAACCCAGCTTTCATGAAGGATCTGGTCTGGGGAGCGTGTTCAGCAATCCTCTGCTCAAGCTGCCTGGCTCCTTTTCAAAATGTTTCCTATGTCTCAGCCTCCAACTCAACTCTTCATCCTGGAAAAGTCTGTGTCTCATTCCAGCTCAGTGCTGTGATTTATTTTTGGCGGGCAAAGGGAAGAATTAGTCATACCTACTCTTCTGTTTGAGTCTAATGGGAGCATTGTGACTGGTGGTAAAGATGGTGGTTTATCAGCCTGGTGATTTGTAGAGTTTATGGCATGGGCCCCCTTGTTCCTCTGAATTTCCTTTCCCCTGTGAGTCACTCTGCAATAATAATGAAGAGGTGAGGTCCAAAGTTTGACAGTGGACCTCCTTGTACTCAGCTTTCAGCATTGCAATAATTCCATATTGTCAGAGAAAAGATGATGTCATCTCCTTAACAGTTGAAAACAAAGGGGGACAAATAAAAATGACCAGGCCACCCAAAGAACTGCCAATCAATACTATTGACAATGGAAGAGGAAGGCATTCTTTCAATCATAAAGTATGACTGAGCTAAGCAGTATTGACCTTGGGGTAAGGCATTTCTTAGGATTTAATGAATGGCTAGGAAGCTGATGGACCTTTAGTCAAACTGGTTATTAACTGCCTGAAAGTGTCTGACCCTGGAAACCATAATTGCTGCTACAAATGCAAGCACATAAGAGAGCCCAAGTCTGGCTTAGACAATGTGCTGTTGTAAGCAAGTCCCAATGCTGAACCATAAGACTGACCTTTACAGATTTGCCTGGGCATCCCCCACCACAGAACTGCATACCATTCTCAAAGGACATAATTTCATGAAGACCCAATGCTAGAAATAAGTTCTAGAAATAAAAAAGGATAGCATTTGCCCGTCTCACAGAATAGAATATTATACACTCTAGTAGAACAATTCACCTCAAAGCTGATAGACTGAACTGATATTGCTATGATTATAGCGGCCAGCGCTGTCCATCAGAAATATAAGGTGAGCCACGTATGTAATTTACAATTTGCTACTAGCCACATTACAAGAGTGATTGCATTTTAATAACATAATTAACCCAGTAGATACAAAATACTGTCATTTCTACATGATAGTATTTTTTACATGTACTCAGTAAAAAAATTATTCACGAGATACTGCTTTTATTTTTTACACAAAGATTTTATATTCCAGTATGTATTTCACACTTACACCACATCTCAATTCAGACTAGCCACACTTCAAGTGCCCAAGAGCCATATGTGGTTAGTGGCTATCATTGTGGACATTGCAGGCATAGAAAATTGTTTTGGAATTAGTAATGCATTAGAATGTTCAGCTGGATAAGATGGCCCAAATAATAGGGTGCCATTTCCCCAGTATGATCAGCAAAGAGCTAACTTAGGCAAAAATGCTAAATAAATGTGAATTATCTATGTTAGAAGAGAGAGAGGAATTCATAAATGGTATTTGAGTTTAGAAAGAGTTTTCACAGACAATGACTAACTTTTGCCGTTTTCTCTGATACTGCACTGATTTAGCTTTGCTTGGAGACATGTTTCTGGATTTTTAGGAGTCAGGAGACTCTGGAATGGAGTTGCAAGGGAAGCAATATAGCATAGTGGAGATATTCTTGAGAAACAGCCTGGGTTTCAGGAACAGGTAAAGCTATCCCTGCCACTTTCCACTTGGTGACATAGGGCAAACTACTTTACTTTGAGGAGCTAAGTCTTCTGGTTGCTAACGTGTGGATGATATCTTCACCTCCTTTCTGTTGTTGCTGTTGTGGGACTGAATGTGATAATGTTGACAAGTGTGCATGCTGGTACCATCATCACCACCTGCAGTAGCATCAGAAAGCAACAGAAAAGTTGTCCACTAATATGACTCTGCAACCAGGTCCCCAGAACACCAGACTTGCCCAGGCACTCCTCAGGGAGTAGATGGGACGATTGTATTAAGAGGCATAATAGTTCAGTTGCCAGAAGGCAAGCCAAATTAGTGTCACAGCGATGGCAGTGTCTGGAGGAATGTGGCTGCTAATGGAAACGGATGAATCTAAGAAAAGGGAAACCCAGTGGAGAAGTGGTGGGTATAGGATCAAGGATCCAGTAGATTCCTCATGAAGAATATGCAGGTTGAAAGCAGAAGTGGAGCAGAATTATCACTAAAAGGGCAGTCTCCTGAGCAGTGAGTCAAGAAGGAAAACCAGGGAGTCAAGAAGCGTTGACCTGCAGTTAGAGAATCAACCTTCGAAAAATCCGAAAGATAAATTGCATATTACTAAAGAGGAAGATCAAGTTTATTCCTCCTTCTTCTTTTATTTTATTTTTTTTATCATTACCTGAAACACAGCAAATTCTAAATAAATGTTTCATGAATGACTGACTGGCAGGCTGGCTCACTGGTGGAGGAAGCCTGTGATCAGAGCCTGAGTAGCCCAGCCAGTCTTGAAGGAGTTGCATCTTTACAGTGCACAGAGGTCACCCTGATTCAGGAGGAGCAGGCTTGTTATGCTCCTAGTGGTGAACAGGGGAAGAGAGGGAGAGAGGGTAAGAAGGGGTGGTGGGGTAGGACAGAGAGATGGAGAGAGATGAGGCCAATAGCTATCTTCGTTCTTCGAATCATCTGGGTCAGTAACGTGAAAGACAAAATTGGTTGGGCAAGAAGGCCCCACCTTCGGCCGGGCGTGGTGGCTCATGCCTGTAATCCCAGAACTTTGGAAGGCTGAGGCAGGTGGATCTTCTGAGGTCAGGAGTTTGAGACCACCCGGGCCAACATGGTGAAACCCTGCCTCTACTAAAAATACAAAAATTAGCTGGGCATGGTGGCACATGCCTGTAATCCCAGCTACTTGTGAGGCTGAGGCAGGAGAATTGCTTGAACCCAGGAGGCAGAGGTTGCAGTGAGCTGAGATTGTGCCACTGCACTCCAGCTTGGTGATGGAGCAAGACGCTGTCTCAGAAAAAAAAAAAAAAAAAGTAGACTGGCAGTGTTGAGGTAAGATTGCTATACAAACTATCACAAAAAGCATCAAGACTTCATTTCTTAATGTGGGGTAATCAGACCTCAGATCTAAACATAACTATGCCTGCAAGCAATTCTTGAGGGCCAGTTTCAAAAAGTCATCTCCTAAGAATTCCATGATGCTATCATGTACCCATGAAGATCAGGTTAGCCCTGCTCCTCGGCAGAAAGCATCTTTATGATGACAGTCTTGTGCATATTACAGCCAGTGAGCTTTTCTCCTGGGTGGCCTTTAGATAAACCCTGTGAAATTCTGGCTCCCTGAATTCCTTTTCTCATGTTTCAAGCTGAGCAGCCTTTTCTGTGTGTATAGAGTCTCTCCAAATAGTCAAAGGCCATTGGTTAGGTTTCTACTCACCCCATTCCAATCCTAGTCCTATCCCACCTTCCTGATTTCACAACCAAGATACCTTAATAAGTGTTTGAGGAGTTCCCAAACTCTTTGTCCTCATATTTGCAGAAAAGTTTCTGGTTCACTGCAGAAGTTAATTCACACATGCCAGTGTGGTTAATAGTTAGATTTCAAAAAATCAACTTTATTTTCTTATTCTTTTGGTCTTCAGCTTGCCTGTCTGAGCCACCAACTTGAGTAAAACGTTCTTTTACTGTGTGGTGTTGACTGCACTTTGGGTGGGATTGAAGAGCACAAAGTAAGACCAAGAATCATTTCCTCACTGTCCACATGTGAAACTTGCATTTTTTTTCACATGATTGCAAGCGCAGCAACAAAATCTACTGCTATTTGTGACTCTGAGAAAGTCAGTAAAAACTACTCACATTTAAAGGTCTCATTCAAGGTAGGTCAGCTCTACAGTACCGCTTCCCAGATGTGTCAGAAGTTTGGAGGTGTTGCTTGAAGCCTTCACTGAAGAATTGCTTCTGCCATCTAGGTTTGTTTTTAAATAACATGTGATTAGACTTGTTTCTATTTACAGGTCTCTACACACCTGGTTTATCAGCCCTGTGGTTCAAAGAGCATCCGTTTAAAGCCAGTAGACAAGACTGATGTCAAGTTATTGCTACTGGGAATTCTGTCTTTACATTTACTGTTAAATTCAAGATAACATCTAAGGATACAGATGAAAAACATAAATTGATGATGGCACTGAATAATGATGTTAATTATCATTTAACACGTGTATATTATGTTGCAGACACAATGCAGACACAAAGCGTTTACTCTTTTTCAGCTATTACCTCATTTGGGTTTCACAATAATCCTGTGAGAAATAATATCTCCATTTCACAGAAGAAAACATGAGGCTCAAATCGTTAAGATGCATTTCAGATTCATGCAGTTTATAAGTGGTGGAGCCCAGATACAAACAGAGGATTGATGAACTCCAGGGTTTAGGCTCTTACTAATACGTAAGAAGCAGGTACCAACCAGCACCGGCAGCCTAAACAGTTTCTGGAGGAATTTCAGGTTGGAGATAGATTAATACAAATGGATCTACACTGGCAGAGAGAATAGAAAAGTTTAAAAAAGTGTTTTTTTCTGTAAAAATATTAATGGCAAAATAGAAGACAACGTGATAAGGAGCAGTGAAAATCACAGAAGGAGAGCTGGGGGAGAGACAGCTATGGAGGATTTTGAGACCATCCAGAGAAGAAAACAATGACTCCCTGTGCTTATGAGAAGAGAGCTGGAGACACATCATGAACTTTTTCAAATGCTTCCAGCATACCATAGCTTACATTGTCACCAGAATGATTTAAGAGAAACCTATGTTAGAAGTCCTTTTGGTGGCAACTCCGTAATCTGCTCAGTGTCCAACAAGACTCTTTCCAGCCACCAAATAAACAATTCTAAGGCATAGCTCTGATGGTTAATTTTATGTCATAGGAAATTTATTTTAACCTGCTTTTATTTCATGGGTGCTTTCCAAGTTTTGCATGCTAACTACAAAGGGACAAATGTTTCCCATCAGGCCAGAAGGAGAAGAGATGGGCCATAAACAGAATCTAGACTAAAAATACAAAAACCATTTCTTGAAATAAAATATTTATAATTCACGCATTTGAAAAAACCCACACCCCTTTGCCTGGAGTCATTTCTGATAACGATTAAAGATCTTTTAAAAGGTATATTAGATTCCCCTTAGGCTGTATTTCATTTTTTTTGCCCACTTTCTTACAGAAGCCATTATTACCGGTATATCCTATCAGCAGCTTGTCTCAGCTCTACCGTGTGCCTTTTTTCTGTTATTTCGCTCTTTCTTTCTTTTCTTGTTTTACTAGAATTACTTTGCCATCACTGCATAGATTAGCTGCAAAGTCCCATTCAGCGACTAACCTATACGCATGCCTGGAAGTGTTACAAGTCAACATAACATGGGGTAACCACTGACCAATGAAGGAAAAGAACTGAGGGATAAATCCTCCCTCTTCTATGTAACTGGAGGGCGATTTTGAAGCGCACTTACTCTATTTGACTCATTGAAGTATGCCCAGTGGGATCCAGCCTCAGTTGCCTGTAGTCACAATCAACTTTGTAGCACTCTTGGACTGGCTTCCTCTTTTCCCATTTTCCTGCTTCTCCACTTTGAGTTCACTTCCCCCCAGTCCGCCGCCCCCCAACCACCACCAAAAAACTATTTGCACTCAGTGCTTGCCTCAAGCTTTGCTTTTTTGCTGAAACCTAGGCTAAGAAAATATTTTATCACTGAAGCACCCGACCTATTTAGTTTCTCTTTAAAGTGTTGCACATTGAATATTTTAAGTAATGTATTAAAACTTATCTTGATTGGAAATGTATTTAAAATACTTACTACCCTTTACATAAGTTCAGTTTTTTCAGGATATGATAAAACAGCTTTGGCAGTCACTAGTTTAACAAGAATGGCATGCAATTTTGGTCTGTAAATAGTTTTTTTTTTTTTCTTTTTGGTTTCTTGTTTTGTTTTGTTTTGTTTTTTATAGAGATGAGGTGTTGCTATGTTGCCCAGGCTGAGTTGTTGTTGTTGTTGTTTTGTTTTGTTTTGAGACAGTGTCTCACGGTCTACCAGGCTGGAGTGCAGTTTCACCATCATGGCTCACTGTGGCCTCCACCTCCCAGGCTCAAGCGATTTTCCTGCCTCAGCCTCTTGAGTAGCTGGGACTACAGGCATGCACCACTGTGCCCGGGTGATTTATGTATTTCTTGTCGAGACGGGTTTTCTCCATGTTGTCCCCACTGGTCTCAAACTCCTGAGCACAGGTGGTCTGCCCGCTTCAGCCTCCCAAAGTGCTGGGATTACAAGCATGAGCCACCACAGCTAGCCCCAGGCAGGCTTTAAACTCCTGAGCTCAACTGATCCTCCCGCCTCAGCCTTCTGAGTAGCTAGGAATATAGGGGTGTGCCAACTCATCTGGCTTGTACATAGTTTTATATTTATGTATTCATTATTTTGTAGATTATGAAATTTCTTAGTGGTAAGTGCAACATATTTACCACTTCTTAGGACGTAGTTTACTTTTGGAAGGTTCATACAATGTGACGTTTTAAAAATTAACCAAACTCGTCTAAATTTATTGATTTGACAGGTGACATCTCTTGAAATAGAGCACACGTAAAATCCATCAGGATACCTTAATGCACATTGTGTCACTTCTTTTCAAAACATTCCCAAGAAGCTCAAATAGAGTAGACCATTTTATTTCAAACTTTATTTTTCAAAAAGGCGGTAGGCAGTAGGTTGATATTGCACAATCCCCTGCCATCCCCTAGAGATTCTGAGTTAGCAGGTTAAAGATGAGTTCAGGAACATGCATCTTAAATCAACTTTTCTAGGAATTCTGAAGCAGATGACCCTTAGACAGCACTTTAGAAAATGCCATTTATAGAATCTTTGAATTTCAAAAACGAAAATCATCTTTCCACCAGTCATTCATTTTGTAGATTAGAACAATTATTCCAGCAGCACTCTTTCCTTTATTTGTTATTGTTGACCATATCATTTAGGCCACGACTAAGAAAACAAAAGTAACTCCAAGTATTCAAAGCAGGGGGAATTGGATTCAGCTTTCAGAGGTAGTGAAGGATCTCAGAAACAAATAGGGGGCGATGAGGCAACTCAGGAATTAGTAACATCAGGATGTCGCCACCATCCTAAGGCTGGAGTAGAGAAGGGATGATGTGGTGCTCCCATATCCCTGGCGCTGAGTTCATCCTAAAGAACTGTGGTCTTGCTTGGCTATGGACTTTGGTGGGGCTGGTGCCTCCCAGCTGCCAATCTGGAGGCGTTCCCACAGCTGGGCAGAATTTTGCGCCGCGCGCTGCTGTTGCTGCTGCTGCTCCCCAGGATGTTGCCCCCTACAAATACGCCTCCTGTGTCCGCAGCCCTCATCCTGCCATACAGCCTCAGCCGGCGCCCCAGCCTGCGGTCCGTGTGCAGGGGCGGGAGCCACTCACTGCCTCCATGTTGGCTGCAGCACCCCCGCACGGAACAGAAGCAGATGCTGGGAGAACGCGTGTTCCCACTCATCCAAACAATGCATTCAAACCTGGCTGGGAAGATCACGGGAATGCTGCTGGAGATCGACAACTCTGAGCTGCTGCACGTGTTAGAGTCCCCCGAGTCTCTCCGCTCCAAGGTGGATGAAGCTGTAGCAGTTCTACAGGCTCATCATGCCAAGAAAGAAGCTGCCCAGAAGGTGGGCGCTGTTGCTGCTGCTACCACTCAGACAAGGAAAAACCGATTCAAAAGCCAAATAACCCCTCATGGAATTCAGCTCAAGGCTTGAAGTCTTCCTAGCTTGTCCTATGGACCTCAACACCAAGAACTACAAATTGCAAATTTAATAGGTCATTTTGTATCAAAAGGTCAATTGTGAAGCGCCTAGAATTTTTCAATGATACGAATATGTTCTCTGGGTTCTGCTGTGGCCCAGACAGTGTTAACTTTTTTTTTTCTATTGTGGGTTTTGATTTTTTCCCCCCAGAAATTGGTTTCATTTGATTACCCAAGTCTTACGTTTCTCAATAAAGAAAAAAAATCTCCATTAAAAAAAAAAAAAGAAGAACTGTGGTCTGCACCGCAGGTAGCCATACAGTGGAGGGACAGCCTTGCTACTGGAGACCCGCCTGAACCAGTTAAAAGGGAAGAAAAATGCCCTGGCATCTCCTTCCTTTCTCATGCCAGTGCCTGCCATTGGCTGAATTCATCTAAAAGCCAGATGACAGGAGGTCTGGGAGATGCAGCCTGCAGATGTCCCCTCCTCCTAACCATCCGTGGCTCACTACAGAGCAGAGGAAAGGCAAGAAATAGTGAAAAAAGCAGGCCTAGGGGAACCACAGGCTCCTATTCCTTAATCCTTAGCACTGTACAAACTTATTCTAAAATTATAAGCATCCACCTTTCTCACGTTACACTGGGTATCCTTAGGAACCCAATCTCTAGCTGGGCACGGTGGCTCACACCTGTAATCCCAGCACTTTGGGAGGCTGAGGCGGGTGGATCACCTGAGGTCAGGAGTTCGAGACCAGCCTGGCCAACATGATGAAACCCTGTCTCTACTAAAAATACAAAAATTAGCTGGGCACGATGGCAGGCACCTGTAATCCCAGCTACTCGGGAAGCTGAGGCAGGAGAATGACTTGAACCCGGGAGGCAGAGGTTGCAGTGACCCGAGATTGCCCCATTGCACTCCAGCTTGGGTGACAGAGCAAGACTTCATCTTCATAAAAACAAACAAACAAAAAAACCTCTGAATCTCTATAGACCCCATGCAGCCCTACCAGTGCTAACTTGACTTAATCCAAATAGGACACACTTTGCTTGCTTTGCTTGGGTATGCCATTGTCTAAAACAGTTTCTTTGTTTTATTAATAATGAGTGGATATCATTATTAATATTAATTATTAATTACTTATAATAATTTATAATATGGATATTTTCCAGCATGTAAAATAACTCCTTGATATAACAATATATTGAGTAGAAACTTCCTGAAGAGAAGTTCCCTCAAAGTATATCTAATCCTAATACAATAATTATAAGAAAAACACTAATTCTAAGAATAAAATGGTATGAGGGTAAATAGAATTTTTAAAAACTAGGTTAAAAAAATCAAAGTTTTTTATTGCCATTAATATGCTAATATAGGTTATAAATCACCAAGAGGAAGATCCAATATACAATATTTTCAAAATTACATAACCATTCATTTAGTTGACAAATATTTATTGATCAACCATTCTATGCCTGAAATTCTTTGAGGTGCTAAAGATGCAACAATAAACAAAGTAGACAAAATCTTTGACCTCAGGGAGAGCAGATTCTAGTGGAAAAAGTCAAAAAATTAAACAAGTAAATATATAGTATTTACTTTTTCCCACAATGCTTATTTTCAAATTAATATTCAGTGATTATACTTTGAGTTACACTATATAATGCATGTAATTTTATTGTTAGTCTCCTTCCAGTCAGATCACATTCCAATCTCTTCCCCTACCCAGCATTATCTTTTTCATCTTTTTAATGTAGAAACGATGATAGTGGTTAAATGTGTAGGCTTTGGGATAAGGCCACCCTTCTTCAGGTCCTAGCTCTGTCCTTCCCTGTGTGTGTAACCCGTGAGCCTCATTCATTCATTCATTCTGCATACATTCATCACGCTGGCCCAGAGCTAGAAACCCAGGGCCCATCTGTGAACAGATGAAGAGCCTGACCTTAGGAAACTTATGTTTAGGACTCAACATCTTCAGTAGAAAATGAGGATATTCCTCACATTGGCCTCATCAGGTCATCATGATGATTAAATGACTTAACCCCTGGCATGCACTTGGAGCACTGCCTGGTGCATCCTAAGAGCTGACTAAAGGTTAGCATTTATTCATCCCGTTATGTCCACATTTAAAATCCTTCAATGGGTCACTTCTGCCTGTAGGGTAAATTCCAAATTGTTTAGTACAATAGACACAAGCCTTTCAGGATCTGGCTCCTGATTTTGCATCCTGTCTCATCCCCTGCACACTGGGCTCCCATCCTGTGTAATACTTTCATACCTTATGCCCAGAGAATTCTGTCCTCTCTGCATGGGGTCATCTCCTTCCCGAATGCCTTCTTTCCCTTCAAGAGTGAGCTCAATTACCCACTCTGTGAAGACTATTGTGTTGGCTCCTCTGTGCACGTCCATGACTCCACCTAGTCACACTGACCCTTTTGCCCACAGATCATTCGTACCTGACTCTCTTGGAGCTTCTCATATGTATTTTATTTAACTCACTAATATCTCACACCATGCCACATGTATTATGGTGACTAACAAGGGTGCATTAAACATGGTAAGATAGGCCTGTGAAACAAGAATCTTGGACCCCAGGGCTAGAAAGAAATGGTTAGGGTTAGGGAAGGAGATAAAACTGCTGCAGATGTAGAGGAACTTCCAATAAATAGTGATAGCATTGAGCTCACCTATTTACTTCCCATCCCTCCCAAATTCCCTCATAAATAATGGTAAAGATTCTTTAAAATATATGATAAACTTTTGTGCTAAAAACACACATGGATATTATTAGTGGCTCTGAAATTGTAAGCTATTTCTTAATAGTAGAAATTAGAAGAGGTTGAATGGGAGCACAACCAACATAGAAAAATCTAGAACTCCAAGTACCCACAGGCAAAGTCTGCTGCAGAGAGAAGTCCTGACAGAGGTCTGAGGAACACCCCACTGGGGTTAACAAATGCACACAGTAAATGAGGGCTGGAGGCAATCATCCAAGTTCAAGGTTAAAGCACTGTTTCCAGATCAGCTAGGTAAGCCAGCTCCTCTCTGTCACTGACATATACAGAGCAGCTGGCTGGAGCACTTGTTCACTAGATAGAATTCTATGAACTCTTTTCTAAATAACTAGAAATATTATCTTAGAGAAGACTCCTAGTATAGATGTTGAAGTCTAAGAGAGCAACAGGGAAAGTCTTTAGACAATTAAAGATCATAAAAGGGAATCCAGATTAAATTAAAATGAGATCTGGACATCCAGAAAGATGCATATTAAATGTTCCCACTTGAGAGTCAGTCTCATTACCCAGGCAATTTACTTGCTTCTCGGCTACCTGCCTGTTCCCTGCCCATGTACAAAATGGAGAAGTGGACCTCTCTGACAGATGCAATTAAACTCTACAAAACTCACATTTATTTCTCCTATTCAGGAGAGGGGCCCATTTAGGAGACATATGATAGAAAAAATACTGTATCCTGCATACTAATTAAGCTAGTTCTTTACTTCTAAACATACCCAAATAGCCAAAAGTCACAAAGCATTAGAGGAAAATCAAGAGCTTGCACAAGAATATTTTTATGTAAATAAAAAGAAAAATAGCCCTTAGAAAAGAACTAAACATCAACAACAAAAATCTAATCAGTATCCAAAGAAAGGTGTACAGCCCCAGAAAAATGCAAAAAAAAATTTCTGAGACTCTTATGAACCCCTATGCACACAAACTAGAAACCTAGAAGAAATGGATAAATTCCTAGAAACATACAACCTCCAAGATTGAACCAGGAAGAAACTGATATCCTAAACAGACCAATAACGAGTTCCAAAATTGAATTGGTACCAAAAAACCTACCACCCAGAAAAAGCTCTGGACCAGATGGCTTCACAGCCAAATTCTACCAGATATACAAAGAGGAGCTGGCACCAACATTAATGAAATTATTTCAAAAAATTGAGGAGGGAATCTTCCCTAACTCATTCCATGAGGCCAGCATTATTCTGATACTAAAATTTGACAGAGACACAATGAAAAAAGAAAACTTCACACCAATATCCATGTATTAGTTTGTTTTCATGCTGCTGATAAAGACATACCTGAAACTGGGAACAAAAAGAGGTTTAATTAGACTTACAGTTCCACATGGCTGGGGAAGTTCTCACAGTCATGGTGGAGGGTGAAAGGCACTTCTTACATGGTGGTGGCAAGAGAGAATGAGGAAGAAGCAAAAGCAGAAACCCCTGATAAACACACCAGATCTCATGAGACTTACTCACTATCAAGAGAATAGCATGGGAAAGACCAGCCCCCATGATTCAATTACCTCCCACTAGGTTCCTCCCACAACACGTGGGAATTCTGGGAGATACGATTCAAATTGAGATTTGGGTGGGGGCACAGACAAACCATATCAATCCCTGATGAACATAGACAGAAAAATACTCAACAAAATACTAGCAAATCGAATCCAGCAGTACATCAAAAAGCAAATCTACTATGATCAATAGGCTTTATCCCTGGGATGCAAAATTGGTTTAGTGTAAACAAATTGAGAAATAAGATTTATCACATAAACAGAACTAAAAATGAAAACCACGTGGTCATTTCAATAGACGCAGGAAAGGCTTCTGATAAAATTCAACATCCCTTCATGTTAAAAACCCTCAGCAAACTAGGCACTGAAGGGACATACCACAAAATAATAAGAGCCTTCTATGACAAACCTATGGTCAACATCACACTAAATGGGCAAAAGCTGGAAGCATTCCCCTTGAAAACCAAAACAAGATGAGGATGCCCATTCTCACCACTCTTATCCAACATATCACCACTTCTATCCAGAAGATTTCTGCTTCTGGAAGTCCTAGCCAGAGCGATCAGGTAAGAGAAATGAAAGGCATCCAAATAGAAAGAGACGGTGTCAAACTAACTCTTTTTACAGATTATATGATTCTATCCCTAGAAAATCCCCATAGTCTCCCAAAAGCTCTTAGATTTGATAAACAACGTTAATAAAGTTTCAGGATACAAAATCAGCGTACAAAGATGAGTAGCATTTCTGTATGCCAATAACATTCAAGCTGGGAGCCAAATCAAGAATGTAATCCCATTCACAGTAGCCACAAAAAGAATGAAATACCTAGGCACACAGCTAACCAGGGAGATGAAAGATCTCTACAACGAGAATCACAAAACACCACTGAAAGAAATTAGAGATGACACAAATAACTGGAAAAAACATTTCATGCTCTGGATAGGAAGAAACAATATTGCTAAAATGGCCATACTACCCAAGGCAATTTATAGATTCAATGCTATTCCTGTCAAACTACCACTGTCACTTTTCACAGGATTAGAAAAACAATTCTAAAATTTATATGGAACCAAAAAAGAGCCCAAATAGCCAAAGTAATTCTAAGCAAAAAGAACAAAGTCAGAGTCATCACCCTACTCGACTTCAAACTATACTGCAAGGCTACAGTAACCAAATCACCATGGTACTGATATAAAACGGACACACAGACCAATGGAACAGAATAGAGAACCCACCTACAACAATCTGATCTTTGACAAAGTTGACAATAACAAGCGATGGGGAGAGAACTCCCCATTCAATAAATGATGCTGGAATAACTGGCTAGTCATATGCAGAAGATTGACATTTCACCCCTTTCTTACATCATATACAAAAATCAACTTAAGATGGATTAAAGACTTAAATGTAAAATCGAAAACTACAAAAAACCTAGAAGAAAACCTAGAAACTACCATTCTCGATATAGGCCTTGGCAAATATTTCATGAAGAAGTCTCTAAAAGCAATTGCAACAAGAACAAAAATAGACAAATAGGACCTAATTAAACTAAGGAGCTTGTGCACAGCAAAAGAAACTATCAGTAAACAGACAAACTACAGAATGGGAGAAAATATTTGTTATCTATACATTGGACAAAAGTCTAGTATCCAGAATCTATAAGGAACTTCAGCAAATTAACAAGCAAAAAACAGGCTCAAGCCTTTAATCCCAGCACTTTTTGAGGCCAAGGTGGGTGGATCACCTGAGGTCAGGAGTTTGAGACCAGCCTGGCCAGCATGGTGAAACCCTGTAATCCCAGCTACTCGGGAGGCTGAGTCAGGAGAATCGCTTGAACCTGGGAGGCAGAGGTTGCAGTGAGCTGAGATTGCGCCACTGCACTCCAGCCTGGGAGACAGAGCAAGACTCCATCTTAAAAACCAAACCAAACCAAACAAAAAAAAACAAACAACAATAACAAAAAAAAAAAACAAAAAAAAAAACAAGCAAAAACCAAATAACCTTACTAAAAAAAGGCCAAATGACATGAACAGACACTTCTTAAAAGAAGACATACACATGGCCAACAAACATATGAAAAAATGTTCAACATCATTAATCACTAAAGAAAAGCAAATCAAAACCGCAATGGGATACCATCTCACACCAGTCAGGATGGCTATTATTAAAAAGTTAAAAAATAACAGCTGTTGGCAAGGTTTTAGAGAAAAGGGAACACATTCTCTTCTGGTGGGAATGTAAATTCATTCAGCAACTATGGAAAGCAGTTTGGAGATTTCTCAAAGAACTTAAAAAACAGAATTACCGTTTGACCCAGCAATTCCATTACTGGGTATATACCCAAAGGAAAATAAATTGTTCTACCAAAAAGACACATTCACTTGCATATTCATTGTAGCACAATTCACAATAGCAAAGACATGAAATCAACCTTGCTGCCCATCAGTGGTGGACTGAGTAAAGAAAATGTGGTACATATACAACATGGACTACTGTACAGCCATAAAAAATGAAATCATGCCCCTTGTGGCCACATGGATGCAGTTGGAGGTCATTATCCTAAGCAAATTAATGCAGCAACAGAAAACCAAATATAACATGTTCTCACTTATAAGTGGGAGCTAAACACTGAGAACACATGGACACAAATAAGCAAACAACAGAAACTGGGGTCTACTTGAGGGTGCAGGGCTGTGGGAGTGTGAGGGTATGCTTACTACCTGGGTGACAAAATTATTTGTACATCAAACTCTGGCAACATGCAATTTACCCATATACTGCATATGTATCCCCGAACCTAAAATAAGAGTTGAAAATGAAAAAAAAAAAAAAGAGAAAGGTTTAAGAAACTATCTAATACAGAAAGTAAGAACACAGTGTTATGAAAGAGAATTAAAAAATAAGGAAAAGCTATTGAGACAATTAAAAATATAATTACAAAAAAAATAAGAAAATAGTAAAATAGAAATTGCCAGAAACTAAATTTTTGTCTAAAACATAAAGCCCAGAAAATTTCTCAAAACAGATTAAAAAGAAAAAAAAAACACCAAGTGCTAGCATGAGGAAAGTTAAATGTTACGAAAGATAAGTGTAGGAAGTATAATATCTGTTCAATAAAACTTCAGAAAGAGCAGAAATATTGAGGAAGGGAAATAATGACAGAAACAACAGTTTTCAAGAGTGAAAGAAAAGACTGAGTTATCAGTAAAAAAAAATCCACTGAATGTTCAGAACGATGATTCAGACATAAATAACGGATGGAATAGGGAATAATGTGGGCTCTCTTTAGATGGGTACTGATGAGGTGCCTCTATGAAAGGTGGCATTTGAGTTGACATGCAAAAGATGTGAAGAGTCAGGGTGAGAACATTTCAGGCATAGATGGGAGCTTCTGCAAAAGCTGAAGGCAGGAAAGTACTGGGTCAGCCAGAGGAATTCAAAGACTGAAATGGATCAAGATAAGGCTGAAGAGAAATCATTCACGGCTTTGTAGGCCAAGATAAAGTACTCAGAGGTTATTCCAGAAGGACAGGAACTATTAGAATATTTAAGGAGTAGAGTGTAAACTAAAAATAAGATCCTAAGCCCCCCAACTGACTGAATGAACAATCTCTTGGTCAAGGACATCCCCGAGTAACCTTGAAAACTGATTTCTAGGCCATGGCAAAATGGTAGGTCGGATTCACTTCCTGATATCCCCTCCGTCTCTAACAATGGTTAGCCTTTCTTCCCTAAGGGTCCAACAGAAACCAGCCCTTTCAAAAGGCTCCACCACTGATACTAACCAACTGCTTGACACTGCCCCTCCTTTTCTCCTGATAAGAGACCAGGGAGTGGCTCTAGCCAGTCTAGGGAGAATGCGCAGTAAGGATTGTAATGTCCTCTGCTTCATCTTTTGATGTCAGAGGCCAGAAAATTCCACTCTCAGGTCATAATAATGCTGCCATTTTTTTGAACATGGGACCCATGAAGGGGCATGAAGCCTAATTGAACATACACATATTTCTCCTTTCATAAATATTCATGACTCCTCCCAGCTTTTTGATTATGTATATTTGGCTACCCCACTCAGCATAAATTTCTTCCCATTGCCTCTCCCTCAAAGTGTCTGTTTTTGCCTTCTGGCCGGAGACTACGCATCCCAGCCTGTCAGAATGGCCACCCTGCAGGCCGCAACCCTTGATGAGTCATCCAGCTCTTTTTGCTAAGTTTATAAACCGAGTCATTCTTCACTTGGCAACAGTGATAAGATTCAATTCTTTTAAGAACCCATCTGTTTTGTAGGGAGTGTGTTAGGAAGAAGCCAACTGGAAGCAGCGTCTAGTTGTGGGATTCCATTTGGGAGCCGATGAGTCCTGAGCACTCTGCTGGCACTGGAGAGTCAAAGGAGTAGACCAATGTGCCCTGTATGTGGGAAGTAGAGTCCATAAAATATGCCTGATGAATTAGGAATAAAATGGAGAGAAAATAAGGAATCAAGGGTAACTACTGAGTTTATGGTTTGGGTACCGAAGAAAATGGTGGAATAATTTACCAAGACAGGGAAGCCAGGATGTTTAAAAATATGTATATCTGATAAAGGGGAAATAAATAATTCTTTTAGAGCTGCTTAAGTGTGAGACATTCAAGATCCATTTAAATGTTGATGGTGTGTGCAAGGGAGTGAGATAAGTATCTAAAATTCGGAGAGAATTCCAAGTTGCAGACATACATTAAGTTTTTTAAAAATAAATCGTTGAATCCAGTGCTTAAATCCACAAGAATAGATGAGATCACCTAGTGAGAAGGGTAACATTAGAAAAGATCCAAGGACTGAGTCCCCAGCAATCAGTATAGAGGTCAGGAAGAGGGACAGACCCCAACAACGGAGACCAAGAAGGGAGGGAAAAGAGGAGAGAGCTACCAGGAAGGCCAAGCTTGGAGACAAGAGGGTGTTTCAAGAGGAAGAGAGTGAGTGACTACATAACATAAGAGAGTGAATAACAGAAATGATTTAATTGATGGTTTAAATCATGTCTTTCCATTTAGTGGTAGGACTAAAAGCCAGACTGTATGGGATGGAGGCTTGGTTGGAGGTGAGGACAACTCTTTCTAAAAGATGCTCAAAAGAAGAGCCGAGAAACACTCAAGTATCTGGAGAGTTATATGTAATCAAGGGAGCATTTTTTTTTAAAGATGGATGTTTGTACACTGAAAGGCATGATACAATGCTGAAATTGTAGCAAAAAGAGAATAGTCCAAGGGGCAAAATCAATATATTTTTTAATTGATCTAATAAATTTCGCTAGGATTTTTAAAATCACATCCCTAAGTGAGGGCCAATGATACCAGAGCAAGAACAAATATTAAGGGTGTAGAGCTTATTGATAATGAAAGTGATGGAGTCCAGATTCCTCATTCTCTGTTCATCAGGCTTAAATCAAGAATAGGTTTTAGAAAACTGTTAGAATTCATAGTTTATGTGTTTTTTAAACAATTCTCTTGAATGAACCTTTATTCCTTACAAAGGTGTGTGGGGCTACTACAAGTAGTCATAGGCCCCAGTGAGAAATGTTTTGTTAACACCCCTTTGGGGAGGCTGAGCCACTTAACAAGAATATCTTCTCAAGAATTATTTGTGAGGCCACTGGGGGTGGGTCAGATTCTACATAGAAAGACGTTAACAAGCATTAACGAGTTCATTTAATATTGGACTCATCTTGAATGTTTTTATTGAGTTGTTGGTTTCATAGTGGAACCATGAATTTCTTAAAGTCAAGAACCATAGGCTATTATTCCTGTGGATCCATCATCTAAACCAAGCCCTGGCACTTAGTGGCTCTCATTAAATATTGATTGAGTGATGAAGTGAATAAATGAATTCAATGACTAAAGTCATTAAAATGGGAGATCCTATAAATGCACACCCATGGCTCATATAGGTAATGTTGTTCATATTGGTGAAAATCATGCACCCTAGAAATGGAGACATTTTCAATTTTAAATCTTACCCATTATCTTCTCATGTGCCCCTATTATAGATATAGACATATAGATGATGATGATGATGATGAAGATATATAGATAGTAAGATAGATAGAAAAACAGAGTTAACCTATGACAAAATTTTTTTCCATCCTGTTTCTCTTAATGATTTATAAGGACCTATCATTATGAAATATTTTGTTTGGGTTAAATATTATTTAGACCATAACAATAGTAATAATAGTACTATAAAGGGCCTTCAAAAAGTTAGTGGAAAATTTGAGTGAAATCATAAAATTAAAAATATAAACTTTAGTTTTCAATGTAAACTCCATCAAGTTCAAGATAATTTTGTAAGCAATGATACCAGCCACTTAGTCCATTCCTAAAGAACTGAAGGTCCTGGGAATTTAACCATGTCAATGCAGTCTTTTAAACATAATTAACTAAAGAAAAATGGGTTCCCTTTAAAGATATTTTTAAGATTAGGAGACCAAAAGAAGTCAGAAGGAGCCAAATCAGGGCTGTAAGGTGGCTGCCTTATGATCTCCCATAGAAACTCTCACAAAATTGCCCTTTTTTGGTGGGAGAAATGAGCAGGAGCATTGTCGTGGTCGAGAAGGATCCTCTGATGAAGCTTTCTTAGACATTTTTCTGCTAAAACTTTGGCTTTCTCAAAACACTCTCATAATAAGGAGATGCTATCATTCTTTGGCCCTCCAGAAAGTCAACAAGCAAAATGCCTTGAGCATCCCACAAAATGGTTGCCATGACCTTTGCTCTTGACCGGTCCACTTCTGCTGTGGCTGGGCCACTTCTACCACTTGGTAGCCATTGCTTTGATTGTGCTTTGTCTTCAGGATCATACTGGTAAAGCCATGTTCCATCTCCTGCTACAGTTCTTCAAAGAAATCCTCCAGGATCTTGATCCCGCTTGCTTAAAATTTCCATTGAAAGCTCTGCCGTTGTCTGCAGCTCATCTGGGTGCATGGTTTTGGCACCCACTGAATGGAAAGTTTGCTCAACTTTAATTTTTCAGTCAGAACTGTGTAACCTGAACCAGTTGAGATGACTGTGGACTTGGCTGTTGTTTCTGCTGTTAATCATTGGTCCTCTTCAATTCAGGCATGAACAAGTTTCATTGTTTTCCTCAAAGATTGTTGTGGATGGTTTGTGGCTGCAGGCTTCGTCTTTAACATTGTCTTGTCCCTTCTTAAAACAAGTTATTCATTTGTAAACTGCTGGTTTCTTTGGGACATTGTCCCATAAACTTTTCTTTAAAGCATCAATTATTTCACCATTCTTCCACCCATGCTTCATCATAAATATGATGTTTGTTCTTGCTTCAATTGTAGCCAAATTCACGTCGCTCTGAGAGAAGCTCTTTTCAAAGTGATGTCTTATCCTTCTTAGTGCCTCAATCTAGGTCCTATTTAGATGTGTTATAACAAGTTAGTATGAGATTATTTTGGTGCAAAAATTTTGGGGTCAATGGATAGTTTCTTCCATAATACGCATTTTCCATGAACTTCTTGAAGACCTCTCATATTTATTGAGTATTGCCCATGCATTAGAACATTTCATACCTCACACATTTGTGCACTTAATTTTCAAAATAATTTCCAAAAATATAATTATAATCTGCATTTTGCAGATGAGAAAACATGACTTATTAAAGCCTTGTGGTTGCCCCCAAGATCACAGAACTAACAAATTATAATTGACTGAGGGGTTGGAAGCCAAATAGAGTCTGAGATCTTTATTTTATTTTATTCTATTTTATTTTGAAACAGAGTCTCACCCCGTCAACCACGCTGAAGTGCATTGGTGTGATTTCAGCTCACTCCAACCTCCATTTCCCAGGTTCAAGCAATTCTTGTGCTTCAGTCTCCCATGCACCTTACAGGTGCACGCCACCACACCGGGCTAGTTTTTGTATTTTTAGTAGAGGCTGGGTTTCACCATGTTGGCCAGGCTGGTCTCAGAACTCCCAACCTCAAGTGATCCACCCACTTTGGCCTCCCAAAGAGTCTGAGATCTTAAATGCAGAAATGTAAGTATCACTGAACCCTAGAAATATACATCTCTAATGTTGTGGTGAATGTGCGATTGGCCCAAGGCAGCCCAGGTTTGGTGAGCTGGAGTGGGACTGAAGGGGAGGAAGACAAGGCTACCAGTTAAGTTATAGAAAGTAGAGGCTCAGGAACCCAGCGAGGTAGGTCAGAGCTCCACAGAAAAAACAGACTACTCCAGAAGCAAGCTTAACCTATTTCAAAATGTGCCTGTGACCAGCCCTTTGTCTTTGACTTGCGCTACTCAACCAGGGCCCATACTGGAAAGATAATTTATGATGCTGGAGGGACATGAGCCCTTTTGCAAAGCCGGCAAGATGGGAACAAGGACTTGTACTTTCCTGAGTAGTTCTGGGTGTGTTTCCAAAGCTCCAGACAATTTTAAGCAGCTTTGGGGTTTCTTTGCTCCGAATGCTGACTTCATTTTAGAGATGAACTTCTGTTTTATGAATTTACTATAGGAAATAAGGATGTTAGAGAAATGGTAGAATATTCCACAGGGGCAGGGGGATTCTGGAAATCTCCACAGATAATCTAGTCTGGAAGCTTTCAAAAGACATATTTTACTTGTTAGGAAATTTACTTATTTATTAATATATTCACTTGACCCTCCCTGCCATGCATTCCTTTCCCCACCTATCTCCAACTAAGATAATTAGCGTATTATTTACTTTCTGTTTCAGAGTTCCTCCTCAGTGAACACCTGTGATTGGCAGCAGACACTGCTCTGGAAACCTGGTAGAAATATATGAAAAAGCATGAGGGACTGAAGCCACTTAGCACTGTGCAGGCCACTTCATCTATTTTTACTGTGCCCCCACTAGATTGGCAGGGAGGATATTATACTAAAGTTGTAACTGCATTTTCTCAGAAATCCTGCTTCAATTTGTCCCAATATCTGTTCAAACGTCCCTTCCCTTCTAACTATAAAATCTGTTGGAGATGGGGAAAGGGCTTATGCAATCAAACACAGTCCAAATTGAGAGGTATTTATTTATTTATTTATTTATTGAGACAGAATCTCGGTCTGTCATCCAGGATGGAGTGCAGTGGCAACAGCGTAACCCACTGCAGCCTTGAACATCTGGGCTCAAGTGACCTTCCTTCCAGATTGAGAGGCTTTTTGAAGAGCAGAGCAGCATGTTTGTATATCAGGGACTTCTCTTCCAAGCTGTGGAAGCAATTGGTGTGCCCATAATTGCCTTCTTGCATCATCTGTCCAAGAAGCCTGGTTCTTATTTTGAGAGATAAAGAAGTCATGTGTCTTTCTACAAAGCATAATGGAGATGGGATAAAATTGGAGGCTCCCTGGAGGCCTGGTGGGAAGTTGATCTGAAAATTGTGATCAAATTTTTTGCCCCATTATTTTTAAATGGGTTAATAGAGGAGGCCATGTGTGGAATATCTCTGGCTTCTTTTCCTGCCCTGATGCTCAATAGCACACAATTTAGATCTGTATTAATCTCTATTACCTCTACTGCATAAGAGCATGCACGTTTTGTCATTGTTTATGCTTTAGAAATATTTATGAAAAGTTACTCAGTCAGGGATTTTAATAATTAATTTTCTTTTGTTCATTGGTTAACTGTTTTCAGCCAAGTGACATATTGTAAAGACCAATGGATTTATCTCTGAAATCCCAGTCATCGAGTTTCCTCTCTGGGCCACTCCATCCAACATTCCCCTTTCAAAGCAGTGCCACTCTCCATCACTCTACCACTTTTCTTTTCATGCATTCATTCAACAGATACTTGTCATTCATTGAAGCAGTGCCAGATGCTGTGTAAGAATGGGGATAAAGAGACAGCAGATCCTGTTCCTGTCCCTGGGAGCTCACTACCCCTCTTGAGATGTTTGAAAAATCAAAGCATAAACGTGATAAATAAGCCTAAGTATATTTCATCACTAGGATTATTTGTATACTGTCAGAAGATAAACACTCTAGATTATTTCACCTGAAATAAATCCCATATCCATAGAGTTTGGCATAAAATTTCAAGACTTTGATGGACCCCCTAAAGTCTATCTAGTGAGAGACATCAGATTAAAAGTAGCTGCCTTCAGAAATAAAAGAAGACTCAGTCTGAGTGGGATTTCAAAGTGTGAATAGCCTAGGAGGAAGGTATTTTGTTAAGGGAACTTCTGTGAGCCTCTATTCGTGTTAGTAATAGACATGCCCACTTTCTCTTGTGCTCAGGGTGCCTTGATGTGATCACTTGACCCTGAAGTGGGAGTCCTTTCTCCCTCCCACTTAAAAAACCTGTGAGTTGTCTTAAAGCTTCTTCAGGCTTAGGAGCCACCTGGGGTGAAATGCCTCAAAGCATGGAAAGAGATCGTGTGTGTATGTACACACCCATGCGTGCACACACACTGAGCAGCTCAATAGCTATAAAATGAGGACTCTGGGTTCTGTCTCCCTCTTGTTCTTCTTCTCCTTCACAATGTAAAAATGCTAGATAAAATATGAGAAAAAAGTATCCGAGTTTGAAAGCACAGGAAAGATACTATCCAGATGCCATAGAAGAGCAAATTCATACCTCAAGCAGTAAGTCGGAGTTGAAGCCCAGTGATTGAGGAGGCAAGGAGTCCACATGTGTGCCTTAGGGTCTGGGTGTATATTGCCCTTGTCGACTTTCTGGCTGTTAAAGCCCCAGACCCTGTGCTGGATGAAGTAGAGGGGGCTGAGAGCTAAAAACATACTCTGTGCACAAAGCCTGGAATCTGGGAAAAGTTGTCCGGTCCACAAAATCTGCATTCTCCAAACAGCCATATGCCCTGCAATTAAGCCACCTACCAAGGCTTAGGTGAATGTAGAGGCCCTGCAGGCAACTGGAATTCTAACAATGTGGGGAAAACTCTTAGCTAAAAACAAATATAAAAACTGGAGACCACCATAGAAACAAGGAGGACCCCAAAAGAAGCAAGCTTGAAACTAATTCCCCCAAAATCTGCTTATAAAAAGCAGTACCCATATTGAATTGACTCAGAAGTCAACAGATGAAGCGTACGCAAAGCACAGAAGGAAACTATCATGAGAGCAGCAAGTTGACTGGCCTGAATACAGCCATTTCGAGAAAAGTGACTAAAAAATCAGTATGTGAAAGATGCAGTGAAATGAATAGTGTACACTACACCTGAGAACAACACATGACAAGGAATAAGATAATAAAATAACATGCAGATTTGAAAATGTATCAAAAAGATTTTTGTTTAAATATGGTAACTATTACCATGCGTCTGTTCTTTTTCTACGCAGAAAGCCACCTAAAAGGACAAGGAAAAACAATGAGATGACCACAGATAAAGAACCCTAAGTGCTATAAGGAAAAAGGACTTCTAAAAATAAGCAAAATGATCAATGAAATGGAATGTAGAAAGCTTAGGAATTAGAGACACCGTGTACCTCTGAAAGCAAAGTAAGGAATGGATCTTAAAAGCAGAAAAGTCAATTGAGACTCTCTGCAAGAAGGAGCTAGATTCCAGGTTTCCTCCTTTCTTCTCTCATTCCTTCAACTACAGCAAAAGATAAAGATTATTCTGAGAAAAAGAGCCTTTTAAAGCTCTGTATGCCCAGATGCCATGCCCAGGTGAGGGCAGGGGGTAGTGCCATTCAAATCACAAACAGGAGAATTCAGTAAACAATTATGTATTTATGGAACAATAAATCCCCTTATCCTCCTCTCCCACTTAGTTCCAAAGTGTAGGCTCAAAACCCCAAGGGAAGATGCTGATACATTCTAGATTGGCTAAGTAGAGTGATCCAAGAGAGAAGACCTAGGGATATTAGTATTCTGGCAGCCCCCAGAATAGCTTCTGGATCTCTGCTCAATTTGCCTCCAATTCAGTTTACCATTTCACAAATCCTCCCATGGACGCGGCTTACACTCAACATGTTAGTGTCACTTCTTATTTAGGAATGAATAGTGGATCACTTGTTGTTTGTGGAAATCCCTGAAATAAATCAAAAGGCAAAAAAAAAAACAAAAACCCAAAACAAAACAAAAACAAAACACAAACAAAAAACAGAGAAAGAACTCAGAAGGAACAAGGCAATGTATGGCATGAAAAATTAAATACGTGCACTCCCACACATATGATCAGGGAGATAAGAGAAAATTGCTTGAATCAAGAAAATAATTTTTCAAGGAATTCTCAACAAACAAGAATGAAAATATGGAAATGAAAATTATAAGATTTAATACAATGTTTGGAAATAAAGTAGAGAAAATTAATAAGAAGTCTAAGAAAAAGGCAAAGATTTCACAATAGAAAAGGAGGCCAGGCATGGTGGCTCACCCCTGTAATCTCAGCACTTTGGGAGGCCGAGGCGGGTGGATCATGAGGTCAGGAGTTCAAGTCCAGCCTGGCCAAGATGGTGAAACCCTGTCTCTGCTAAAAATACAAAAATCAGCTGGGCGTGGTGGCATGCACCTGTAATCCCAGCTACTCAGGAGGCTGAGGCAGAGAATTGCTTGAACCCGGGAGGCAGAGGTTGCAGTGAGCTGAGATCGCACCATTTCACTCCAGCCTGGGTGACAGAGCCAGACTCCATCTCAAAAAAAAAAAAAAGGAGTAGTGGAAAGTTTTTAGAGAATTACTTTAGAATATTCACTCTCTGACTTACAGTATTTTCAGAAAAAGAGAACATGTAAAATGGAAGGAAAGAAATTATCAAATAATTTATCAAAGGAAATAAAGGAAAAATTCTCAGAACTAAAATACTGCTTTTTCAGTCTGAAAGAGCCCGCTGAATATCCAGGATAGTGAGAAAGCAGGTAGATACCCACCTACCCTCTTCCCCAAATACATACACACACACACACACACTCTCATACAGATACACACACAGCACACACACACATATACACACTCATACACACACACACCACACATATATACACACCACACACACACAGACCCCCCCACACACATACACTCACAGACCCATACACACACACACACACACACATATACACACATACTCACACACCACACACACATATACAAACATACCACACAGACATACACACCACACACACAGATACACACACACCACACACACATACACATACACACAGGTACACCACACACACATACATACACATCACACACACATACACAAATACCACCAAACACACTCACACACGGATACATACACCACACACACACACCACATGCAAACATGTACATACACCACACACACACAGACTCCCCCCAAACACACTCACACACAGATGCACAAACACCACACACATACACACCACACACAAACATATACATACACCACACACAGACACCCCACACACACATACACTCACACACAGAGACACACAGCACACACAGATACACATACACACATATATACATACACACCACACACACATACAGAAACACACACAACGCACACACACGTATACCTACACACCACACATACATACACAGACTCCCCACACACACATACACTCACACAGAGATACACACCACACACACATACACATACATACACACACACACCACACACCACACACACATACATGTACACACATACACCACACACATACATACACACCACACACACATACACAGACACCCCCACACACACATGCACTCACACAGAGATACACGCCACACACACATACACATACACACACACCACACACACATGCATACGCATCACACACACATACACAGACACCCCACACACACCTTGATAACTCTTACAGTGTGCACACAGTGATATATAAGATATTGATAATTATGGTGGTGTTTTTTACAATTTTAAAGTGCCTATCAATAGAGGAATGGATAACGTCATCTATAGGATTTCATCTGTATTATACAAATCTTAGGCATTGTATATAAGCTATATGTTTTCGAAACAAACATATCTATGAGGCAAATATGACAAGCTGTTATTTTGTTCAGTTGTTATTTCACTTATTCTGGATGATGGGCCTATGGATATTGCTATATAGTGCCCTGTACTTTTTGTATTTTTTATGTTTTTAAAATTTAACAAAAGTTTAAAGAAGTTAGTGAGAATCTCTGGTCTAGTCCAGCCCCTGGAGGTACTTCAGCAGTGTTTCAGAGAATAGTTGTTCTCTCAAAGCCCTGTCCCCTGAGGTGAGGCTGGTAGCTGAATCTGGCCTCCCATCCCTGTGGACCCTCCTCTCTTCTCCTCTTAGGCTCTACCAAGTTTCTCTGAAAGGTTTCTGCTGTTCTTTTCAAAATCCCAGCAAGATTCTCTTCTTTTCCTCAAAATAGTCTCAGATGTCTCTTCTGGAAGAAAACAATTGCCCTTTGACTACAGCCTAAACCAATAGCATGTGAGCACTCTGTTTCCCCCTCCCGTGAAGATTGGAAAGACTAGGCCATACGAACACAATGCCTGTTCTTCACTCCACTGGGGGTAATGAAGCTGTCCTGGATTTTCTCCAGGAGGCTTGCTTTATCTTGAGACTAAGCTGTGCCACTTCCAAAAAAGAAAGAAGAAAGACAAGTTGTCCTATCAGAAATAGGTTGAGGACTCATATCAGGTGCTGAGAAATTCATAGGAGCCTAGGAATGATATACCGTTTGGCATTGCTAACATGAGGAATGAGTAATTTTCTTGTTTCATGAAATCCGCAGAAAGTCTAACTACCTGCTAGAAAATCAGGGGCAATGCCAGGAACACCAGGGAGATAGCTGTCAAATGCATCTTCCCATTGACTCATAAAAAAATCTTACTAACTCAAGGAGGCAAATAAGGAAGACAATGGAACTTACAGTACTAAGAGGGTTGTCTTTAGCACTGGTAGCCAAGTCATCCTCATACTGCATTGTAGTTAGCTTTTTGTCTATTTATTTCACAAGTCTCTAAATTCATGGAGTGCAAAAGGCCTAATAAATCTCTGTATTTCCAGAACTTAGGATTGGTGCATGGTTCATAGTAGGTTCTCAGTGTATTATTTATGAATAATTGAATTAATGTATTAATCAAGAGACAAACCAAAAATACTAATATAGCAAAGGTTAAACAGGAATAATCAAAGGTCACTCAGTATTTATCATGTTACCTGCTATGGTTTGAATATTTGACCCCTCCAAATATCATGTTGAAATTTAATCTCAATGTTGGAGGTAGGGGCCTAATGGGGGTGTTTGAATCATGGGACTGGATCCTTCATGAATAGATTAATGTCCTCCCTTGGGGTAGGAGGAAGTGAGTGAGTTCTCACTCTATTAGTTCCCATGGGAGCTGGTTGTTAAAAAGAATCTGGTACCTCCCTCCCTTGTCTCATGCTTCCTCTCTTGCCATGTGATCTCTATACACACTGGCTGCCTTTCACCTTCCATCATGCATGAAAGCTTCCTGAGGTCCTCATCAGAAGTAGATGCTAGTGCCATACTTTTTGCAGAGCCTGCAGAGCCATGAGCTAAAAAACCTCTTTCCTTTACAAATTACCCAGCCTCAGGAATTCCTTTATAACAACAATAAACAGACTAGGACAGAAAATTTATATGGAGGATTGGGATGTTGCTATAAAGATACCTGAAAATGTGGAAGCAGAGTTTGGAAGAGTTTGGAGGGTTCAGAAGAAGACAGAAAGATGAGGGAAAGTTTGGAACTTTTTAGAAACTGGTTAAGTGGTTGGTTGTGACCAAAATGCTGATAGAAACAGAGATAGTAAAGGCCATGCTGATGAGGTTTTAGATGGAAATAAGGAACTTATTGGAAACTGGAGCAGAGGTGAACATTGTTACATCATAGCAAAAAACTTGGCTGCATTGTGTTCATAACCTAGGGCTCTATGGAAGGCTGAAGTAAGAGAGGTGACGTAGGCTATATGGCAGAAAAAATTTTTAAACAGCAAAGTCATCAAGAAGCAGTGTGGCTGCTTTTAACAGCTAATTAGATACAGCAGCAAAAAAACTCACCTAAAGTTGAAATGGAAATGTTTACTCAATACTTCTGCAACCGTTGTATCTTGAAAGTAAATAACTTGTTTTTGATTTTACAGGCTCAGAGCCATAAGAAATTTGCCTCGAGTCTTAGATGAGACATTGGACTTTGGACTTTTAGGTTGATGCTAGAACAAGTTAAGAATTTTAGGAACTATTAGGAAGGAATGATTGTATTTTGTAATGTGAGAAGAACATGAGATTTGGGGGGCCAGGGGAGAATGCTTGGATGTTTGGGACATGGGGGAGGATCTTTCATGAATAGATTAATACCCTCCCTGGGGAGGAGAGAGTGAGTGAGTTCTTGCTCCATTAGTTCCTGATATGGTTTGGCTGTGTACCCACCCAAATCTCATCTTGAATTGTAGCTCCCGTAATTCCCACATGTTGTAGAAGGGACTCAGTGGGAAATAATTGAATCATGGGAGGGTTTCCCCTATACTGTTCTCGTGGTAGTGAATAAATCTCATGAGATCTGATGGTTTTATAAGGGGTTTTCCCTTTTGCTTGACTCTCATTCTCTCTTGTCTGCTGCCATGTAAGTAGTGCCTTTGGCCTCCCACCATGACTGTGAAGCCTCCCCAGTCATGTGGAACTGTGAGTCCATTAAACATCTTTTTCTTAATAAATTACCCAGACTTGGGTATGTCTTTATTAGAAGCATGAGAACAGACTAATGCAATTTCCAGGAGAACTGGTTGTTAAAAGAACCTGACATCTCCCCCTTCTCTCTCTCTCTCTTGCTTTCTCTCTTGCCGTGTGATCTCTGTACATGCAGGCTCCACTTTGCATTGCACCATTAGTGGAAGCTTCCCGTGGCCCTCACCAGAAGCAAATACTGGTGCCACACTTCCTGCACAGCCTGAAGAACCATGGCCAAATAAACCTCTTTTCTTTATAAATTATCTAGCATCAGGTATTCCTTTATAGCAACAAGAAGAAAACTAAGGCATTACATAAGGTTTGTTATTCATTATAGAACTCTTTTTTTATATTGGTTGATACATCAAATGGAGTGAAAACATCAATTGAAATAGGAATAGACTTCCTACATTATTGCCAGGAAGTAGACAAGTTAACTCAAGTAATTTGGACCAAAACTTTTCCCTCTCTTTTAAGTCTGGGTGAACTGAAAAAAAATTGAATTCATAATATTTAAAGTAATTATTTATACTTATCAATATATTTATGCATGAAATGTATGTCTTAGATTTGCTTCAAAAGAATGTCTGTGTGAAGGCAATCGTAAGCAGGGATAGAGATGAAACTAGATTGGTTATGAGTTGATACCTCTTGAGGCTGGCTGATGGTTATATGCAAATTTATTTTTACTACTATGTCTTCTCTTATGTATGTTGGAAAGTTTCCATAATAAAAAGTTAAAAATAAAGTAATCCTTTATGTGACACTATTTCTTTACATAGATACAGAATGTCATTTTTTTGCAGAGTATGTTTTAGGATTAACAGATATCATGATTCACACATTTATCAAAAAGAATTGTCTTATTCCCACTGAAGTTCAGCAACAAAATGAGCAACCGATGTGCTTTATTTTTCTTTTAAAGGGCATATGATATAATGAATTCTATAAAGAACTCGAGCAAAATTGCATCACCCAGGATTTGAGAATATATATTTGACTGATACAAATAACACCATTTGAAGACAGGAGGATTGTGTAGAAAAATGTAAAAATGCACAGCCAGCCTTTGTTAAGAGCTGTGAGTGTCAATGTATTTGGGACTTTAGGTTTGGAAATTTGACTTCCAACACCAACCAGACTGAAGATAGCACCACTCTTTCTAGACTGAATCTTGGAGAAATGAGTTTCCCAGAACCTCTGATGCCCACCATCAGAAAAGGGGAATCCCAACAGCCATTGCAATTTGACATTATTATAAATGAGACCTTAGTTCCTGTGAAAATGCCATTAAAGCTTTGCTTTCAGTTTGTCTTGTTTTAGTCTGTTCTGTTTTGACTTACCATTTTTGTGGTTGGTTTTATTTGTTTTTTCACCAGTTGTGGTCATTTCTCCAAGAGGTTTCAATGAAGTTTCTTATGATTATTTCAACATACCATGTCTGCTTCTATTCTGAGTTTATTTACACAAAGTGGCTAACAGTAAAATATAATTTGCTAAAAGGGATTTGCATAGTTTTTATAGAGCTTCAAAGAGGAGATAGTCTAAAAAGGCAGATACCTACGTTCAACTTTTGCCCTGCCATCCTTGAGGGTGTTAGGATAAAGCCCCTGATTCTGGATATTGGCCTCTGAGTTAAAATAAAAAGTCCAAGCATGCATTTCCACATTCATGTTCATTCATGCAGCTCCCAGAGGAGAGAGGGATAATTTCTTTCAACATATATCACTAATGATTCTGGGTGACATTTATAGTTACTGTTTTTTGATCTAAACATGAACATCTATGTTGAAATCTATTTGACAACTATTGACCACATTTTCATTGTGTCGACTTCTGTGCCAGGCATTGGGAATAAAACAATAAGACAGGTGTTGTTTTTTTTTTTCCCTTGAGGAGTTCAGAATTCAAAGAAGAGTATAAGCAAGTAAAATTACACTTAGACTATAATGGCCTCAGTGATACCTAAATGTGGGCACAAGTTACTGTAAAAGCAAAAATCAGATGGTCTCTGATGAAACAAGTGTGAGAGAGTAAGAAGAATTTCAGAAGAGTCTATATGAATAAGCAAGTGCTTATCAGGTAGAGAAGGAGAAGACATGTGATCAAGGAAAGCATCATGTGCAAATATACAGAGGTAAGACAGTACACAGTACAAACAGGCACCTCCATAACTCCACAGAATTGGACAGAAGGTAAGAGGCATGTGGACAAGCACTGAGAAATGATATCTGACAAGGGGGGCAGGGCTCGTAGAGAAGTAGGTGCTAGAAAGAGTCCTGCTATGTAAGACTCCATGCAGGACTCAAATAAAGTACACATTACTGTGTATGAGCAATTCAAACATGCCTAGGCAATTTACCCATGTCTAAGCATATCTGAAAGTCTGGTCAGTGGATCTGCCAGGAATACATTCATTCAAGAACTGGGATAGAGAAACATTGAGGGCAACCCTTTCAAAGGGAAGAAGCAGCTTGGCAGGAAGGGATCAGCTTCAGACCTGAGTTGCTGGAGGGAATTAGTGATTCTGAATACAATGTGATTTCTGGTAGATTAATACGTCATTAGTCTGGCCTTGAGGATCCATATTGGATCATGGAATGGGAGAGAATGGTAGTAAGAGGATGATGGAGCAGTGCAAAAAGTAAAACCTGATAATGATGTTTTATTTAATTGTTGAGGCATAAATTGTCCTACTTAGAACCCTCTCTAAACACAAGGGGAGCCATTCTCCTGCTTTTCTTCTACTTGGCCACAGTGCGTGGGACACACTGGCATGCTGAGGTGTGGGGCATTGGTGGTGCTGCCCATGAGGATAGCAGTGACAGCATCAGGAAGGTGCTAGAGTCTTTTGCAGCAGGGGCAACGGTGGGCAGGAGGATGCCATTGAAGCCTGGGCATAGACTTGATCCTAAGCTCAGGTGAACCACCTCATGGGATTACACAGAAATACATGGTTGAAAGGAGTTTTACACTAGATGCAGTCTGGTGAATGCAGGTAGAGTCACAATCCAGTTCAATGTTAACATGCCTCATCTGGACTTACATGTAAAGCCAGATAAACCTCTGATCTTGGGGTTGTGATACATCCGTCCATGTATTCCTTGAGCTGATGCTAGTGCCAAGTACTTGGTAGGTACTCAATAAATACATATTAAATTGAGTTCGATTTACTTTGCAATTTACTGCAATGAAATATTAATCCAATATGAACTGGCAAAGGCTCAGAATTCTGTATTTTAGATTGAATTACAATTTGTAAGCTGCTTTCTTGCAAGTTGAAAAAAGTAGTAGCCCAAGAAACTGCCACATCACTTCTCCCTCCAAGGATGTGTTACACTATGCTGAATTCATCTTTCTGTGACCCTATTTGAATTCAGTAACTAGTGGTATTCTTTTGTTTTTGTTTTTAAGAGACCGCGTCTTGCTCTGTCACTCAGGCTGGAGTGCAGTGGTGCGATCATGGCTCACTGCAGCTTTAAACTCCTGGTTCAAACGATGCTCCACCTTAGCTGCCAAGTAGCTGAGACTATAGGCATGTGGCACTACACCTAGTGAACTTTTGTTTTTTATTTTTTGTAGAGATGGAATCTCATTATGTTGCCCAGGTTGGTCTCAAATTCTTGGGTCTTCCAAAACACTGGGAAATATCCTTTCAATGTTTCTTCCCAAATCAGTCAATGACACACCGGACTATTTGGCACAAGAATCAGAAGTCTCCTCCAAAGCCTCTGTAGGAGAAACAGTATCCATGTGCCTTCCTCACTCTGGGTCTCAAATGCCCTCAGCAAATTTCAGCACAAACTTTCCAGTAAGATATCGAATTCACCCCCAAACCCAGAATAAAACAGTCAACACTTGCAAACAAACAAGATGTGCCTAGGTTTAACCTAATAAAGGTAGAGCCTCTTTGATTCAAACCTGCTCATAAAGTGGTAAGAAATCGATGAGGAGGAATCCGACAAACCAGCTAATAGTCTGAATAAGCTCTCCAGATGTGCTGCATTTTTTAGGCTCACCCCAGACTGTCATCAATGTTTCAACATTTAATGTTTGACTTCCTGCTTTCTTCTTGCCTGCCACAGAAGTTGAACTAAAGTTCCCCTCTTCAAAGACAATATCACACACATTTTTTTTTCTTTGTACTCTGATCCATGAGCATCTTAAGTAAGGTCTCCTTCACAGGTTGCAAGTCAATATCACAGAGGGGAAGCTGACATGTGAGTGCTGTCATATGTCAATCATTACCTTGCATTTCACACTGTGAGGTATGCATTGACTATTTTTACTTTGCTGCATTTCCTTCCTAAACTTCTCTGGTAAAGGGAGAGGGCACTTCTCTAAATACAAGGAATTTAAAAAGCGAAGGGGCTCTTTGCAAAGGGAATTACAAAATTTCCCCACACTATCACCAATGACTTCCTACTCCTTTCTGAGACACCCCAGCATCTCTGTCCACAAAAGCTACACTGTTACCCAGCAACATCTTTATCCCCTTCATGAATCTCAAACTTCTTCCAGGATTTCGTTCCCAAAGTGTTCATCTATCAGCAGCACTGCAGTGAGAATGAGAAAATAATTTGCAAATTGTGAGAGCTGAATCATGCCATAATGGAATTGACAGGGTAGGAGTAATTGAGGGGAAAAAAATGCTTTTTAAGAGATGTCACCAATTTTACTTTCATATTTTCCAGCTCTGAAGTTTCAGTGGGTCATGGTACGCAATGAGGAAGCCAAAAGTTTCACTGGCAATACTGGTTTCTCTCTGTTTCTGGAATAACTTATGCATCTTTTGCCTTAGTTATCAGTGGATGGTGTTTATATGACCTGATCACAAAGTCTAGGAACGCATACAGCTTGAACTTTAAAAAGATAAATTTGTCCCCACGGCATATACTATAGACCTTAGTCAGCTGATCAGTTCTACAAAGCATACCTTTGTAAATGGTACATAAGATACTATTAGGTTGGTGCAAATGTAATTGGAGTTTTTGCCATGAAAAGTGCCTCTTGTGGTATCAGATGGGACAGCTTGATTGTGGCCAGGAGATCCACCTTAGATGTCTCATGCACGTGGCAAGTTAGTGCTGGCTGTCACCTGGGTGCTTTGTTGGGGCTGTCACCCTGTGTCTAGATTTCCCCCCAAATAGCCTCTCAATATGGCAATGTGGGCTTCTCTCAGCACGGTGGCTGGGTTCTGAGAGAGAGAGACTGTTCCAAGAGCCAGCAATCCATAAAAACATGACACAATGTGCAAACACTTATCAAGCTCCAGCTTACTTTATATTAGTGCTAAAGTTTGGGTGTTTGTCCCTCCAAACCTCATGTTGACATTTGATCTCAGTGTTGGAGGTAGGAGCCTCATGGGAGGTGATTGACTCACGGAGACAGATCCTTCATGAATGGTTTCGTGTCATCCTGGAGGTAGTGAGTGAGTTCTCACTCTTTTAATTTTCACAAGAGCCAGTTGTTAAAAAGAGCCTGGCACCTCCCAACGCTCTCTCTTGCTTCCTCTTTGCTATAAAATCTCTGCACATGCTGGCTCCTGCTCAACTTCCACCATTACTGGAAGTTTCCTGAAGCCCTCACTGGAAGCAGATGCTGGCCCCATCCTTCTTAGGAAGCCTGCAGAGCCATGAGCCAAATAAACCTCTTTCCTTTATAAATTACCCAGCCTCAGGTACTAAATGGACTAAGACAATTAACATTACACAAAGCTAATAGTATGACCACGCCCTGAGCCAATGCAGAAGGAAACTACACAGGAATGTGGATATCAGAAGATGTGGTTCACTGGGTTCCACTAAAGTAGCAATCTATCACCAGAAGCATACTGACTTTGATCTGAACAGGGGCTCTGACTAGGGGCTTCCTTTGTAAACTTGAGAAAGTTTCTTGTCCTCTCTTCTCCTGTCTTTCCCATTCTGGAAAATAAGATTAACAAAATCTACCTCACATCTTTGATTAATTACTATAATTTCCATATTTATGTGGGATTATGGTGTTTCTCTCTTTAAGAATCAGGTTAGTCAGAATGAATTCCTAATAAAAGGCATCATGGCTTGATGACTGTGTAATCCAAAGACACAGGGGCTGAGTCAGAGTGGCCACATCAACCTCTGACCCGGAGAACCCTGAGGTAACTGACTTTGAACTTTCTCAGGAAGAAAAACCGAGAAAGTTTTGAAAACACTTTCCAGGGTATTGACATAGAAGACTGACAACGTGAGAGTGCCAGGACTGAATGCAAAGATTATAATCTTAGGAGTAGACAAAAATTAAATGTATAATAAATCTCACTCACACCTGCTGAGTGAATGCATCTCCTTAGTAAGTCAGTTGCTGCTAGCCTCCGTTTCTTCAATTCAAAAGTGAGATGTTGGGAATGCTTATGAAATGACCAGTGACCAAAAATAAAATCAAAATCCCAAAAGTTGCCAAATTGCCTGTATCTTCATTGTCTCGTTGTCTTTGGTTTAGGATTGCAGCACATCTGTCCCATGCTCTGCTTTGGAATCAATCCCAAGTTCTATCCAGATCACGTAGTGCTCTGGGCACTTTCCTCTCTAAATTCAGGTTTCTTCCTGTAAAATGTGTAAGATGCTTAAATTCACTATGGAGTATTTTATACACTATTCAGTGTTTTATAAGTGAATGAGAATTTTTAATATTATCATTATTATCGGTGATAGCATATAGATTCATGTATGGGAAAAAAGAGTGGAAAATAAAAAGCAGCGGCTTAATAATTTCCTGTCATTCTAAGATATGGTTTAGATCTGTGAACCTGTCCAGATCTCAGGCAGAATTGTAATCCCCAGTGTTGGAGGTGGGGCCTTGTGGGAGGTGATTGGACGATGGGGCAGTTTCTAATGGTTTGGCACCCCCTCCCCTTGGTACCATATAGTGGGGGAGTTTTTGTGAGAACTGGTCATTTAAAAGTGTGTAGCATCTCCCCTGCCCCTCTTCTTCCTGCTCTGGCCATGTAAGACATGTCTGCCTCTCCTTCACCTTCCACCATGATTGAAAGCTTCCTGAGGTCTCTCCAGCAGCCACCATGCTTCCTGTACAACCTGAGGAGCCGTGAGCCAATTAAACCTTTTGTCTTTACAAATTACCTGGTCTCAGATACTTCTTTATAGCAATGTGAGAATGAACTAATTCACCCTGTTAGTCTAAGAGTCAACAGTTTTAACCAACATGACAACTCCACAGAGGTGGGCTCCCCACACTTTCTCTTGTTCTGTCAACCTGATATGTAGCTTTGCTCTCATAGTTTGAGGTGACTGGCCCAGATTCCACGATGGTACATGCATTCCTGTCAGTGAGAAGTAGAAAGGGAAAGGTGAAAACAGGCCCAGAAATTGTTCACATCCCCCCTGTATGCGCTTCCGTGGCTACAACGTAAGGATGTGGCCAAACTAAGCTTCAAAAGAGGTTGGAAAAATGCAATTTCAGCAGGTGTCTACCTGACTAGCTAAAACCCAAAACTTCTATTACTAAAGAAAAAATGAAGTATGAATATGAAAGACAACCTTTAGACTGTTACTCATGATCTATCATTGAATCTCTACTTTTCTGAATATTATTTTATTGATCTCTTGAGAGACACTTTTACATGCCAGAAACCTCCTTCAAAGAAAGAGTAGAATACTTTGCCTTAGATACAATTAAATTCTAAAATTTTGTTACAGTTTATTAAGGAAGCACACTTGCTCTACTTAGGTAGTATGTATTTTAAAGTTTTCTCAATGAGAAAGTCCTACATTTTAATAAACTGAAGAAGGTGTTTTGTGGGATAGGGGGTGGAAGGAGAGGTTGCAGAGAAAATAGCTTACTACAGGAGTTGACAGGCTTCATTGTAAAGGGCCAGATAGTAAATATTTTAGGCTTCAAGTGATATTCCTTCTCTGACGCAACTACTTGACTCTGTCATTGTAGTATAAAAGCAGCCATAGATGACACATAAATGGATATTATTGAGCTCCTTAAAACTTTATTGACGGACTGGGATGGTGGCTCATGCCTGTAATCCCAGCACTTTGAGAGGCCGAGGCGGGCAGATCACAAGGTCAAGAGATCGCGACCATCCTGGCCAACATGGTGAAACCCCATCTCTACAAAAAATACAAAAATTAGCTGGCTGTGGTGGTGGAGCTTATAGTCCTAGCTACTTGGAAGGCTGAGGCAGGAGAATCGCTTGAACCCAGGAGGTGGAGGTTTCAGTGAGCCGAGATCATGCCACTGCACTCCAGCCTGGCCGACTCCATCTCAAAACAAACAAACCAACCAACAAACAAAAACCTTTATTGACAAACACAGGCGGTAGAGCAGGTTGAGTTCATGGGCTGTAGTTTGTCTACCTCTGGTTTATTAGCTGCAAAGCTTAATGTTCAACAGCAAGGAAAAGATCTGTCTCCCCTTAGAATCAAATTATTGAGGGAAACTCTCTGAGAGTTACCATTGTGATATATAAATTTATCTCTGATTGCATTGACTGACCCATTAGAGCAAAGAGAATACCTGGTACACAGTGACCATTGTAACCTAGGTCACTTAGTCATTGACTGCAAATGAATAAAAATATCGTAATTCTTAGTATCCAAGATAAACTAGCTGTATACTTGGATCACACAATTTATAATCATAAAATTTAGAGGTAGAAGAGATGATGTTTCAGATATCCCCAGAACTTGCAACTTCTGTTACTCAATTACTTATCTATGAAATTGGGGATTTGAATATATTTAATTATCAATAAAGTTTCTTCCAGTTTTAGACTTTTTTGGATTCATTGTAAAATTTAGTACTATAAATTCCTTGAGAAGATGAGTTCATTCACTCACCTAACAAATATTTATTAGACAATTACAAAGGCTTAGGCATTGTTAATTTTTTTGATGTAACAGCCATGGAATAACATTGAACAGATTTTTGGTCTCATGAAGCTTCTATCCTAATAGGAGAGAGAAGGAAGGAAGGAAGAAAGGAAGGAAGGAAGGGAGGGAGGAAGGAAGGGAGGGAGGGAAAAGAAGGAAGGACGAAGGAAAGTAGGATGGAAAGACAGAAAAAAGAAAGAAGGAAGGAGAAAGAGAGAAGAAGAAATCAGATAGTAATAAGTGCTATGCAAAGAATTAAAATAGGGTGTATGAAGTCAGAGAAAGTCTATTTAAGGAGATTACATTTAAACCTCTAGATGTAAATAACACACAGGAGTTTGTTTTTTGTTTCATTTTTTATTTTTTGCAGTTCAAGTGATGCTAAGAAGGAAGATCATCATAGGCAAAGGGACCAGCTAACAGCAAGGACCTGGGCAAGTTCAAGAAGCAGAAAATGTTCCAAAGGAAATGTGATATAGTTGGTGGGACAAGAGTGGCGCCAAAGGAGGCTGGAAATGCAGGTTACAACCAGTTAACAGAGAAGCTTGTAATCCATGGTAAAGAGTTTAGACTCTATTTTAAACCCAACAGAAAATCACTAGGGGAGTTTTAAGCAGGGAGCGTATTGAGTAGACCGAGGAACAAATGATAAAAATAGAAAAAAAAATAGTGTCTTCAAACTGTTTTACACAGTTTAGGGCATTTGCTACAGTACAGAAATAATTCCAGAAGAAAATGTTGCCATAAGAAAAAAATTAAGGTAAAAGGCATTGACATAATGGTTGGGCACTGAGGAACCTGATAACAGAGAGGAGAAAGATGGAGATTCATGCTATACATTGCGAAACATTTGGTAAAAAGGTCTACTGACCTTTGGGCCAGTTGGTTGGAAAAATTTATGCATTAGTTACTACTGGCTGCCTTTCATAAAGTATTACAAGAAAGAGATGAGCTCAGGCAAGAATTGGCCATTTGCAAGCAGAGGCCTGTTTATAAAAAGAACTGAGAGATCACAGACCTTTCAGGGTTGGATAAGCCAGCTGACTTGAAATGGGGTTGAAAGCTTCCATCTAGGCCTGACCAACAGGTTTGTACAACAGTTAGCAATCCTGGGCTTTGCCTGGGCTTTGTGTAAGAAGACAAGGCGGAGCTGGATATTGGCTGACCAAAAAGGTGGACTGTGTCAGAGACTAGGTAGTTGCTTGCCAAAGCAGTTTTCTCTTCATTCTTAGACTCTCTTGCAGTTTGGTGTGAAGTTTAGCTGTAAAATGTAATAAAAAAGTGAGTCACCTCTAAAACTGTCCATGGGACACTCCCATGGATGATCCTCCGTGTTCTCTTGAGCACTAATTGGGACAGGAATGGTGATCTTGGAAACGATATGTTCAAGATGGTAGAACAACAGCTATAGAACTCAGGTCCCTGAAACGCCACAGGGAGAAGAGCCCCAGCTGATCAGGGATACCCATTTTCAATTTGAAATGAGTGAGAAATACACTTTTATTGTGTGTGATTGTGTTACAGCCATCATATATTTGGGGGGTTTTTACATCTTTACCTTACCTGGAATTTCCTTCATTAACACATGGGATGTGGAGCAGGTTGGGGAAGGGGCAGAAGTCTTTGTGCCGTTTTCCTTTGTGTTTTTTCATGGTAAGTTCTAGATCTCAGACAAGCATAAAGCCACATAAGCACTTGCCATGTCTAAGTGCAGGGTTCCAGGAGGACATCAGGGGTGAAAATTTGGAAGTCACTGGAACCTAGATGATATTTACACCCATGGGACAAGTTTATAGTTAAGAGAACGTAGCCCAGGGCTAATCCAGGAGCAGTCACCACTTAGGAGTCAGAAAAAAAGAAGGAGCCAGAGGAAAAAAAAAAGGTGGGGGGGTGGGGGGCAGGAAGCACCGTCCAGGGAGGGAGGAGGAAAATCAGGAGTGAGTGACATTACCAAAGGTGAATCTCGCCTAAATACAAATTCCTGTTGAGGTTTCCAAAATACACATCACCCGAGGGGTCTCTCTGAGAGGTAACCCCTGGGATAGAATGTCAAAGTTTATTTCCACAGAAATCCACTGTAAAGGAAACCTCCATCTCAGTAGACCGCACACCTGTGTTTTCTGAAGTCCTTCTCTCAAGGGGATAGTGAGTCAGAAAATTTGAATTTAATGCTTCATTTTGCAATCTCCTGAGTACCAATGGGGCTACATAAACAACCTTTTCCTGTAACCTCAGACCATACATCCAGTTCTCACTCACTCTTGTCACCCACACACGCTGACAGGTTTCCTCCCACTACAGGTTTGAATGAAAAAGCAGGTGAGCAGGAGAAAAGCGCAGAGGTCCCCACTATGAGAATTTCACAGGCAAAGCACTCAGTCTTACATATTTGCAAAGAGGACACAACAGAAATGAAATAATCATGCTCATATTTTCTTCACATTCAAAGGATGCTGCTCAAAGGGCAGCTACTTTCTGTAGTTAGGGACTACAAAGGCCAGGCCAGAGCACAGAGACACAAGAGAACTTTCTGGATGATTTCAACCTGGGTTGTGGGTCATTTTTCAGAAAGTGTCTGGGCAATAATGTATTCATTGTTGGAGGAATAACATTTCCCTGAATGAAGATGATCCTTTAACTACTTATTTTACCATGTTAAGTGTCAGTCTAAGTAGCTGTAACAAACAGCCTTCAAAATTCAGTGGACTAAATAAAATAGTTTATTTTTCTCTCTCACCTTTATCTAAGAGTTTGCCAGTGAGTCATCTTTCCAGGCTGATGGAGTAGCTCTTTTATCCTAAATCTTTCATATCAGAATCCAAGGTGGGTAGTCTGATTCTCTTCATTTCTTCACCAAAAGGAAATGAAAAGGAGAAAAAGTGGACAACAAGTAGTATCTTTAAAGGAAATTACATTAAAATTAGACACGTCACTTCTGCTCACGTTCCATTGGCAAGAACTCAATCATACTTCTAGCTGCAAGGGAGGCTGTGAAATGTTAGTTCAGCCTGAAAGTCAAGTGCTCTGATAAAAGTCACATGTTGTTTATAGGACGAAGCTTCTATTATAAAAAGGTCAGGACAATGGATTCTGGGGGGAAATTAACAGCCTATGACATGATATCCAAAACAAGATCTGAGGTATAGAGTCACAAAGTGGACTGCAAGATGAGGATTGCTTTTAGACTTCCATTCTCCCAACCTCAAGCTCCAGGCTGTCATCTTCTAACTTCTTTTCTCTTGTCAGGCTGCCTATGGTAGTCTTTTGAAATTGACCTTAACGGTATAAACATATTTAGGGAAACCCATGATTTGTGTTAACCCTGAAAGTCCCTGCATCTCAGGCTTATGAGAGAAACAAAAATATAGCTTGCTTTATGTGAGACACTCTGTTCAAGGGATGAAGACGTTTGTGGGAGTTGATCTAATCAGCAGAACAAAGTCTAACTGTCAAAGAAGAAACAAGTGAACCTTACACTTCAGTGTTCTCACACTGGCCCCTTCCTAGGCTCTAGGAGAAGCCATAGGAATGTGGTCAGAGGGTCTTGTCAGTGTTTAAATGTGTCAATATGAGGAAAATTCATTTTAGTTGTTTAAGACTATCATATCTTTGTGGCGGCAAGCCTGTGGGGGCGGGGGGCGGGGGCGGGGGGCGGTCTTGATTGTTTTAGTCTTTCCAAATGTCATCTCCAGGATGAAGCAGTTTTTTCTCTGCACCATAGCAGTCAGTGTCTGCTTCTTATGCTGTGAATGTGCTTGTCTTTCTCTCCCAGTGGTAAGCTACCAGAGGGCAGATGGGGATTTTCTTATTTGTTTTTTAATACTTGCAGATTTGATAGTGTCTGATACTGAGTAGGTGCTTGCTCATAAACATCCAACAGCATAGCTCCCAGAATAGGATCTGAGACTTCATACAGCACTCAAGTCTTCATTTTCATTTTTTGTTGAATTTCACTTAAATATTCACTTTCCCCCACCAACTGGTTGACTTAAAACCTCGAATGTCTATTACTACATATAAGAGGCAGAATATTGGCCCCAAAGCAGTCTACATCTCAATGCCTGGAACCTAGGAATGTGTTCCCTTACATGACAAAGGACTGCAGGTAGAATTAAGACTGCTGTAGTTGACCTTCATATAAGAAAATTATCTTGGGTCATACCAGTAGGCCCAGTGTGCGAAGCTGAAAGAGCCAACCCCTCAAGATGGATCCTGAGTGGCTAGCTGGGCCTGAATTTAAAATGGAGCCAAGCAGCCAATTGCTGACTAGAGGTCACCCACATACTCTGGCTCCTGAAGAAACCACATGCTCTTGTAACTTTGGGACTTTTATACCTGTCTGTTCCTGTTTATGCCACCTCAATCAATGGCAGCCAGAAAGCCCCATCTCATCACTTGGACCTAAATAATAGACTGTGACCTGCTTCGACCAATCAGAACAAAACAAGCTTCAACCAATCTGAACTAAACAAGCTTGCATCCCTCATTTGCATGGTGGACCAGAGTGGAAACCTGGGTGGGAACTTTCTCTGTAAAATTCAACCCCTCTTTTTATTCTCTCAGAACACACTTTGGTTTTATGTGGAAGGCTGCATCTCCTCATAAGCAAACTGCTTGATGAAATAAAGCCTCTTTCTTTTTTAAGAAAAATCCTTTTCGGTGTATATTGAATATGTTCCCTTCTATGACAAAGAGGATTTAAGGTTGCAGGTGGAATTAAGAGTGCTATTTTGCTGACCTTAACATAGAAAGATTATCCTGAATTATCCCAGTAGACCCAGTGTAATCACAAGGATACCTAAAGTGAAAGAGGAAATCAGAAAAAAGGCCCAGAGAGATGGCAGCATGGAAAAATGACTGCACCCAAAATTGCTAATTTTGAGGATGGAGGAAGGGGCCACAAGCCAAGGAATACAGACAGCTTCTTAAAACTGGGAAAGTCAAGGAAACAGATTATCCCCAAGAGCCTCCAAAAGGGACACAGCTCTGCTGACACTTTAATTTTAGCCCAGTGAGACCTATTTTGAAACTGACCTCTGTAACTGTTAGATAGTAAATTAGTGCTGTGTTAAGCCACTACATTTGTGTAATTTGTTACATCAGCAGTAGGAAACTAATATGATAAGCCTATGTAATATAAGTTCTTATTCAACTATGAATCGTACCTCAGAGTATGGCATTTATTGGAATCAGTTTTGAAAATACTTTTGAAATTAGTATAAGGGAAATAACTCTTAGTTTACCGGACAGTTTTCCCTTTGAGAGAAGCCTGGGCCTGCTCATAATTCAGTAGGCTTTGAATCCAGCAAGAACCCCCAAAGAGTTTTGCCTAACTCAATGAGAGAAAAAAGCCCCAATGGGTTGTAAGACTCAGCTAAATAACCTAAATAATCAAGTGCTCATTTGATGTCTTTCACTTTGTAAGCTTCCACTTGCTAATACTGCCTTGGGTTTGGTGTGTTGAGTATTTACATCCTCAGAAAGTCAAAACATCAGGAAAATAACATTTTCTAAGCTTGATATCCTGGATATTAATCAATGACAATAGATCTTTGGAGATGTGTACACTAACAAAATCTCTTCCCAAAGTCAAAAATCTTATTTAAGAGTGGGTCATTATATAAATAGTTTCTTGAAAAATTTCTACCTTGGGATATACATCTTCATTGTACCATGCCATTCAAAACAATAGTAGATAAGTTATCACAGCTTTTTAAAAAAAGTGTGTGTAGGGTAATTTTTTAGCTATTGAAAGGATGAATTTAGGAAGATTTTCTCTTACACTTGAGTGGGTTGCCTTTGCTCTTTCCACAGTCGTCTCTAAGGGTTTTAACAAAAGCAATAAGAAAAAGACTGATAAGACTGGCATCTAAGGAAGATCTCTCGGCCTTCTAATGAGAGGATATATCAAAAAGAGTGAGACAAAAAACAAGCAGAGTTAAAAGGTTGTAAAAACAGCCGCAGTAGCTACCAAGACGGGATACCCACGCCCTGGCACACTTTGCTGTCTCCAAGGAAACGGAACTATTTCCTGATCTCGACACACACTTATTGTGCATATTGTCTTTCATTGTATTAGACTGAAAGCTTTTCATGGATAAGATAATAAGCCTGATTTACCTACATTTCTATTTTATGTGCCAAAGTTACTACGAATGTGAGCAATACTACTGATCTCGGTTTTATTTTAAAGTGATTAGTATTTGCAGATTTGTGTCAATTTACATATTTATGGGGATGGTCATTTCAATCCTTTGGCTAGCCTGGAAATCCAAAGTAGAGTGGCAGATAAGAAAGGAAAGAACAGGAGAAAAAAAAAAGTAAACAAACGAACAAGGTTTTACTCAATTCTTCAGTCTTCCCAAGCCCTTTGGTTTTCCCACCTCTCTCCTGCACAGTTAGTAATACTTGACATTTATAGAGCTGCTTTCCAAACAAAGACCCCGGAAGGTTTAATGCACTGTGCTAGCAGGCAGAAGGGGAATGACTCACCCGCCGGGTGCAGGGCGCCACCTCTAGTGTAGAATGCGGCAGCTGGGACACAGCTGGTGGGTAATGAGTGCCCGGCGATGGCTCAGAACAGGAAGTGAAAAAGAAATCCAGGGTCTGGTGAAAGCTTCAAGGGAAACAGGAGGCAGCAGCGTGAAACACACCGGCATGTTGCTGCGGTGTCAGTCCCGCAAAACATTCAGACCCCCTTCTCAAGGGCAGAGGGAGGCATTTTCCAGCCTAGCGTAGCAAAGCATCGGTGGTCAGGAACTGGGTCTTCCTAATCAGCCCTGCCAAGTTGGAAGAGCGGCAGCTTAAAGAGATGGGAGCGCCATCCCTTGAAATGGCGGAAACAGGAAGCGGAGATGCCTCTGCTGTGGGGGACCGTGCCTTGGGTGGTGGGAACAGAAAAGAGGGACTGTCTTCCCACTGTACCTCAGTGTGCAGTATTGTACCCAGCAGATGAGGACAAAAACCATCACTTTTCACTTAAGGGTTTAAAATTAACCTTTGGTCAGTTCCAAATATTTTAAAGATTAGTTTCCTGGAGAGTTTGTCTCATGCCTGGAGGATTGAAACACTCTTTTCAATTTGTTCACTTTTGACATTTTTAGTGCATCTCCTTAAATTATATCCAGGCATGGAAATAAATGAGGATGAAGGCTCCAGGGCTTTCTGGTTTTGTTGCTATTCTTAGCAAAAGGTTTGAAGAAAATAAAGGGGCAAAATACTTCTGGTTCATCTGGGCCTGTGGAGCCCTTTGTGCTGATGCAAAGTTAATAGTAACTGTGATAAAATCGCTACAAATATGATAAATGTGAAGCCAACAAGAAGTCAAGAGTCACTGCTCTGAGATGACAGGCTCGGAGCAGGGTATGTGATGGAATGAAGTTTAAGCTCAGCTTAGGGATCTTTTCTTGAAGAGAGAGCAAATAAGGTTTCAGCGTGCATGCCATGTTAAGAAGGATTCTGAGACCACAGCTAACAGACTCAGCCCAAAGAACGACATGCAGAGGGGTGGACAGAGGCACTGTGCATCTGCAACCTCAGTGGGAACACGAGAGCGGAGACAGACATGGTTGCGGGTCATTTTTCTGAAACGCGTTATGGGCAGTTTCCTGAATTTAAAAGAAAAAACTTCTTATAATGTGACTCTAGGGTATGCAGAGTTTTTCTGGGACCCCCATAGTCAGCCCTTGAGATGAAGATGAAGACTCTTCAGCCTACCCCCTTGTATTGAGCCCCATTCTCTGAGACACTCACTGTAGGTACCTGGAACATCAGGGGTTCTATGAGTTAACGTGATCTGGGCTTGTTAGCAGTGTGGATTCTTTGAACCGGCCTCTGGGAGTGGAGCTGAGGATAATAACTAACTTTTATGAAGCATTTCCTATGTGCTAGGAAATGTTCTGGGAATTTTCTAAACATTAGCATTTGCACTCACTCCCCACCACACCCCATGAGGTAGACAATTTTATATTTATTTTATAACCTGAGACTTGCTGAGGTTAACTTCAAGCATGTGGCAGAGGGAGAATTCAAATCTAAGTCTGTCTGACTTTAAATGTAATTCTAATTGACATTTACACGTGTTTTCATTTAATTCTTGTTATAGTCCTGATATTATCTTCATTTCATGGATAATCACATTGAGATCCCCAAAAGATTAAGTAACTTGTTGAAGATGCTGTGGCTACTGCACGGCAAAGTTAGAATTCTCACGTTGTCAGGTCCACTCTGTGGCTCGGTTCTTAATGGTCATGATAAGTGCACACCCAACACCTTCCACTTCCTCATACGGCCTTTCACGTAAGGGAGAATTTTCACTTTGGGCATGGGAAGGCCTTTTGAATAAATTGCCTGAGAACTCTTCACATGTAATATGTACAGAATAAGGCCAGTATAGTCATCTTAGCAAAGGGGAGCAAGAGTGCTAGAAAATGACTTAGGGAGGGCACAGATTATGTAAATTTGTGTAGATCCTGAGAAGAAAAATTGTGAACAGAAATTTGTACTAAAGCGAGAAGATTGAATCTAGTAAAGGGCAGAATGATGGCCAACACGGTGAAACCCCATCTCTACTAAAAATAAAAAAATAATTAAAAAAAAATAGCTGGGCGTGGTCACACACGCCTGTAATCCCAGCTACTTGGGAGGCTGAGGCAGGGGAATTGCTTGAACCTGGGAGGAGAAGGTTGCAGTGAGCAAAGATTGCACCACTGCACTCCAGCCTGGGTCACAGTGTGAGACTCTATCTCAGAAAAAAAAAAAAAAAAAAAGAGATTAAGGTCTCAGAACTCTAGGCTCCAGAATTAACAGATCTATTATTTGGTCATCTGCTTATAGAGAGATAAGAAAGATTGAGAGATGGAAAAATAAAAAGGGTCTCATGACACGTCAGTGGAAATGGCTGATTTGACTAGATAAGCTAAGAAATAGGCCAACTAATTAGGAGAAAGCATGTTTGCATTATTTTCTTTAGATTGGAGGAAGTAGAGGAGTTTTATAAAAATATGGTTCTCAGGTCACCTGCATCAAAATCATGTAGGGTAACAGAGGGCTCCGTAAAATGTAGATTCCTGGGCCTTTTCTTACACCCACTGAGTCAGAATACACAGGTAGTGACCCTCAGCATCCCACAGGATTGGTCTGTGCTCTTGGACCTGTTTCACTTTAGGTAGGGGTTATGTTTTCAAGCTCTGAGATCAGGATGGATTGAGTTCCAGTCTACAATTTCACCACTTTCTAAAGGACCTTAGGAAATGACTTTTCCTACTCCAGTCATTGATAGTAGTTATCACCCTCGGGATTTTTTCCCCTTTTGCTGTATTTCTATGCACTAACATCACTAATAAAATATTTTTTAAAATATAGAATTTTACACTAGGTTCTGAGGCATGGGCTGTGGCCTGGAAATCTGTATTTTAGGAAAGGCTCCTTCAGTGTGTCTGGTATGTGGCCTGGAGTCACTGGCAGTGATGTAATGAATGCAAAACAATGAACACGATGCTTAAATACATTACCCAGTACCACTATTGGTATCATTCCATTGTTATTTGGCCACTTCTTATAAGCACAGCCCAGGGGCTTCCAGCCAATCAAGAATCTCCAATGAGAACAACTTTAAACTAAAGCCCCCATGGTAAACCTAAGATATAAATTGGACAAAAACTATTTTTTTCCAAAGAAAAGTTTGTTTGTTTTTTTTTTTCTTTTGGGCTGAAAGTAGAATCTAATCTAATTGGGCATCAGGCATAGAACCAACATGAAATTCATAACCTCCAAGTCTTCAGGCTTAAAAGTGTACTTGCTGATTGGAGCAATAGGAAGAGACCATTTGGCAGTGATCGTGTGCAGTGTGACTGTGTGATAGAAACTGTGCACTTGTGATGCATCCCAACTGCATAGTGGGCGGCACCCTGCAATCCTCGGACCCCGTCCTACTGCCCTTGGTAGGGTGTGGGAAGTTACCCAGACAGAAACAGGAAAAGTATAGGAAGTTCCTTCCCAGGAACATAGGCATTGGAGGACATAATTTCCCTCTTAGATCCCTGGATTGTGGTTCAGAAATGTCCACAAGCAAAGGCTTAGAAATAATTTGTGGAAGTGTGTTTCAGAGCTGACCCAGAAATAATCTGGTTTGACAGAGGCATGAGGGGCACACCTTTGAGAGTATACTTCTTACCTTATTTCCCTGAGAATGGCAGAGAATTGTGTCAAGCATTCATCCCAGAGAAGCCTCTCATAGGAGGAATGGCAGCCTCTCCCCTTAATCTGAGTACAGTGATGGGAAAGCAATGGCTAGTGTTCATTGAGTACTAGATTGTATGGCAGGTACTATATTAAAGGCTCTGCTTTCCATTGTATTTCAATCTATCTACAAATTCTGCAACATATATATGTATGTATTCTAATATCTATAATATATTATAACCTTTTAATGAATAATAAATTTATTCATAGGGTTAACTAATTTGGTGAATATTACCTAGGCTAGTAAACAGAGCCAGAATCTGAATTAAGAATAGTCAGATCCCAAAACTCATGCCCATTCAATGACAGCACGTTGACTCTAGTGTAGAATTTAGATGGGCTGATGCAGCTACAGAAGAAATAGAAAATGCAAACCTGCCTTGATGAAGGTTGATTGGTTAATTCTCTTCATCAACTCTAGCATACGAAAAAAAAAATTAAAAGCAGAAAAGTGCACGATCATGTATCTTCCCAGAGAACCTGCAGAACAATGTTAATTATATATAACGGTTTTGAATACAGGTCCCTGGATTTCAATGCCCACACCATGCCTTAGTTTTTTCAACCATAAAATGAATTTAATGTAACCACTCCCCTTTCAAGGCTGTAAAAATTACACATAGAGGTGACGCACTACAAAATCCAAAAGGCATCATTATATTGTGATCACTGTATATGGCACCCCTGAAGTGGTACACACAGAAGCCCTGTATATTAATATTTCCTACAGAGAATGTAGTAGCATAGCTGCTCACAGCAGGTGCTATGGTCTCTAGTGTGCTGCCTGGGACATGAAAAGCGCTCATTATGTATTTTTTGAATAAAAGAATGAATAAATAGGGTATGTTACTTATGCAATTAGTAGACAAGTTTTGATAAAGTGGAAGAAGGTATGTCAAAAACAAGAACAGTGAGAATTAGATTGTACTGAATCTTGGCTGCAAATTAAATATCTTAGGTTTTATTTTCTAATTAATGCGGAGCCAGCAAATATCTCTGAACAAGGGAGTGACATCCTCAAGGCAATTTTAAAGTTGATTAAGGGGCAGTAATTTATAGAATGGGGTGAAAAAGGAGACCAGTGATAACAGAGTATAAACATCCCAGACATGAGCTAGACGGCCTCTGACGGGATGGAAAGAAGGGATTAGTATGAAGACGGGACAATACGTGCGTAAGCAGGCCTCTCTGAGGCAACCAGGATAAATTATCTTCTAAATGCACATCAAGCACGCTGGGGTTTGGCCCCAGTTCTGCCCTTGATGCGTTTTGTGTTTTCAGTAAATGAGGGAAACAAGACCTCCTTAGGGACTCCACTCTCTTACAGCCAGAATGATGTCACTGGTTCTGCTGCTTGCTAAAATCACTCTGGCTGGAGCCTCCCATCTGTGCAATTCAGAACAAGCTTGGGTGGACATAGAATGTGTTGTGAACCCGCCTGCAGGCTGTTCCACACGCCTGTCTCTCTGTGGATCCTGCATGGGAAGCCAAATGGGAAGATTACTTCATTATCTTGTTTTCCAGGGAATCTTGTTTGTCTGCTCTCCCTTATTTATTTAAGGATGCTTAGGTGTGAGAGGGAGATAAACTGTGTTTTCACTGTAGCCAACAGTTTTAGCTCTGCGCTTTTGTCGCCATCAGGTCAGGGCGAGGTCGAGCAATCTGCCCATTCTGGTTTCATTCTCTTTCCCTCATTCCTCCTCCTAATGCAACTAGAGAGACCATAGCAAACACACATGCGCACACTTAACCACATGATCACTCACATTCACACTCAAAAGCTCACTCATATTCTCATTCAAACACTCATGCAATTCACACTCATACACACTTAGGCATGCATACACAAACACCTATGCACATGCATGTTTATACACTCACACACACACTTATACTCACATGCTCACTCATGCACACATACATTGACTCACTCCAACACACACACTCAAACACCTATTTCTTCATGCACACTCTGCCATAGTTCTTACTGCATGAAGAGAACAAGAGTCACACAAGTTCACCACTTTGCACTTCATAGAGAAGGTACATAGAGACATTGCAAAACCTGTCTCCATTTGCTATCCTGATAATTAAGGTTTTCATAATACCTAGGGCCTGTCTCTGAGTAATTTTAATTTTGCCAGATACACTGACATTTAAAATAGTGATCCATCTGAATTGTTTTCAACTGGATTTTGAGGAAGATAAGAGCTTTCAATGAGAAAGGTTTGTTGTGGTAGTTGTCTTATGTGCTGAATTTGCAGATGATCAGATGCTGTGCAGAATTCTGACTTATTTTTGTTTCCTAAAATTAAGATAGCTTGAATATTATTTCACATTCCTTTTTCTTTTTTAAATAAACAGGTTTGCTCTGGAAAGTCTTAGTGATGGAATGTTAGCATCTTCACTAGGGTAAAGAAGAACAAAAAGAATGTTGCTGGAACATAAAATAGTATTTAAAAGTTAATGAACACTTCTCTAGTTTTCTTAGTTATGGCCTTAATAATTAGTCTCTTGGCTTAAATGTCCACTGGTGTTACTGTGACCCAGTCAAACAACACTGCGGTTAAGTCTCTGGTATTTAGGCTGGCAATATATATATTAACCATATTTTAAAATTACCAATTTTGTTTTTACAGAAAAGATAAAACTCAAAAGAGAACAGTGTATTCCTTTTGAGGGGCTTTTATAAATTATTGACTATAATATATGATGGAGTTTTTCCTAATTTTTAATATTTCCTTGCAATTTTGGTGGCCATTAATTTAACTTTAGGCTTTTGGGCCTATGCTAGTCTGAGCTTCCAAAAAGATACATACATGTTTCACTTTTCATTAGCTGAATGAGGATATTTTAAGAAGTTGAAAGAGAATTTATTTTCAAGTTGTGAGTAAATTCTCCTTTGAAATTCACCTGATTATTAGATAACTTGAAGTTTATTTTTAAAAGCTGACAACTTTTTATGAATCTTCGAGTTGACAGTTCCTAAAAGCGTAACTCAGATATCAATGGGCTGTGTATTAAATGGTTTTATTTTCAGTTTTGCAATACAGAACACTGTTGAAATATCCATATCAACTTGATTTTTTTAACCTTATTCAGGTGTCCTTTGACGTCCCTTAAATGTTGGGGGTGGGGGTCAGAGCCAGTTATCCGGCTTCTGTTTTGTCGATTGCTTAGATTTGTTCCTGTTGTCAAAACTGTCGCCCCCCAAATTGGTGTGACACATGCTCATGCATAAAATGTTAAAATGAGTACATCCTTGTGTTTGTATTTGTTTTCAACATCGCCAAGGTGCTACGGGAAATTATAGTAACAAAATTAGAAAAAAAATAAAATTATTGAAAAGCAAAAAAAAACCCCACAAAACATATTTCTTCATGCATACACACACATGCCTGCACACTTACCCACCCTCATGCACTCACACACACAATCACACATACACATGCTTACTCACACACACTCTCATTTCCATGTACAAATATTCTGGAACATACACACTTGCACACAGGCTCCTTATATGGAAAGCGGGCCTGAGGAGTTTGGAATTTTCCAGCAGAGGATTGTCGAGCATGCCTGTTGCTCTGACCTAGGGCCATTGCAGACCAAATAATCAGCTCGACTGTTGCCCCTCGGCTCCAGCAGACTGGAAGCAACATCACATGGATGGAAGTAAGGTTCAGAAATCTGAAAATAACTCTATCAGGTTGCAATTTAGGATTGAATGTGGTAGCCAATCCAGTGGCGAGGAATGTCCAAACCAAAGCTCCTTTTCTAATTCTCTACTCAAGTCTTCATTTGCAGAAGCACCAGACTCCCAAGGGGACACACTGCCAGGAAGGCAATTAAAACCAGCCTCTATCTAATTAAAGCATAGCTGCCCTACCTTTCTTCCCAAATATGTTTGCAAATTTCTTGTAATTAAATTTCTCCCTCAAGGAAAGACTGCTGGGTTGCTCCTGGGAGAGAAAATCAGTGGCATGTGGCCAGCAACTTCCAGATCGTTCTGCTCTGATGAGGCCTGAGATCCCTGCTGCCCAGGCAGGTGAGGGCATAGTAATGTGGTCGCAGTGTTCCATGTCCCTTACCTTCCCATCTGATTTAGTCTGGGTCTTTGTTGTCACCCAAATCTCATGTCAAATTGTAATCCCCAATGTTGGAGGTGGGGCCTGGTGGGAGGTAATTGGATCATGGAGGTGGATTTTTCATGAATGGTTTAGCACCATCGCCTGGTACTGTTCTTACAATAGTGAGTGGGTTCTCATGAGATCTGGTTGTTTAAAGTATGTGGCATCTCCCCCCACGTTCTCTTGCTCCTGCTCCCGCCATGTAAGGCATCTGCTCCCCCTTTGCCTTCTGCTATAATTGCAAGCTTCCTGAGACCTCTCCAGAAGCAAATGCCAGCACTATTGCTTCCTGTACAACCTGCAGAACTACGAGCCAGTCAAACCTCTTTTCTTCATAAATTACTCAGTCTCAGATATTTCTTTATAGCAATGTAATAATGGACTAATACACCATCTCTCAGGAAGCAAAATGCACCTTGTCCCAAGGATCCTTTAGCAGAAATGGCAGACGAGACCATATGGTGATGTGGAAATGAATTTGGAATCAGGAGGTCTGTCTTGGAGGCCGGCTCTCTCACTCACATTTTTGCTTGTTGCTATTATATTTATGTATTTATTTATAGCTGTCCTCAGTTCCCAAAGAATCTAAAGTTTCTGTATACAGACAAGTTAATTAGAAGAAAAGAAAAACTAGCTCAAAGAAAAGAGAAAGCAAATATGCCATGCATGAAGGCTCACAGAGTTGCAAGAATTGCCCTCTATTGGTTGTTCTGGTCTTGCTGGGAGCCTAGAGAAAAAGGGGAGCTTGAGGAGACCCATAACCCATAATCATTAGAGACAGGGACCCTGACTCTGAAGAACAGATGATTTCTTGTGGATTTTTTTTCTGTGCACAAATTCTTAAAAGATCTAACATGAAGTATATACTAGGGGGTATTGATAAACACACTGGACAAATCTCTCAACATTGATTTTTATGCCATTCATTACTATGCCTGTTGGGACAAACACTTGGATGTTTTCTTTTGCTTTTTTTGTCAAGTGAGGCTTAAAAGCACCACACCCAGGTTAGTTGTAAATATTAAATGAGATCATACCTAAGATAGTACTTTATCAATAATAAATGTAGAGACACAATTACAAGTATAAGGTGTGAGCATCAGTTCACATTGTGTGAGCCACATAAAGTTGGGGGAGGGATCCTGAGTTTCTGTGCTTTAATCCTTATTCTGGCAGGCAGCCTGCCTTTCTGTCAGGACACAGTCCCTTTGGGTGGCATAGGCTTTCTGGACAAGGAGAGGCAGGTCTTCGGAAGGAAGAGCTGACTCCTCAACAGCTAAGCTCCTGTAGCTTTGCCTTGTGAGACTGGTGTCCATTCCAAATAGGATGTTGTTGGAGCACTTTTGCAAGCCAGTCAGCCTGCGTAGCTAATAAAGTCGTCACTTAATGTCATCTGTCGGTTCTTGGAAACCACAGCATTAAGCAAAATGATGTGTAACAAAACCAGTTTTATCCTAGGCTAATTGATATAAACAAGAGTTAAGTTTCTACAGCGTATTTCTGGTCACAAAAACATCCCCAAACTCCTAAATAAAGACCAAAACACAATATTCAACATTGAAATACATGCAAGCTATACATACGTCGATGAAAGATTAATAAACACAATGATGATGATTGATTACCCAGTTATCCCAGTTCAGGGTCTCAGGTGGCTGGAGTCTATCCCTGCAGCTCAGGGCTCAAGGTGGAAGCCAGCCCTGGGCAGGACACCATCCCATCACAGGGCACGCTCACACCCACACCCACGCTCCTTCACACTGGGACCATGTAGACTAACCTAACATGCACATCTTTGAAATGTGGGAGGAAACCAAAGTACCCAGGAAAAACCCAGGCAGAAATGGGAAGAACTTGCAAACACAGATGGTGGCCCTGGCCAGGAATTGATATTTTTTATTTTTTTTCTCATCAATGTTATAAAAAGACATTGAATGAAAAGATGTTATTTGAGGACCTGCTGAAGTTTTATTAGAATTAACAGCAATGTATTTCTAGATGCTTAGAAAAGAATGAGAGTGACCTTAGCATGGCTTCTTGCAGCTGGAAGCTTTTCTGGTACACCCTCCGGCTCCTTTGGTTTTCGGTGACCTGTTCCTTAGCTCAGTAATCAACCACAAAGCTTTCACCCACAGCAAATTGCTCAGCTCTGAACCACACCCTTCAGGGAGGGCTCCAGCGAGGTTCTAAACCAAGTTCAGCTGGTAATTTCACTACAAATGGCTGCAAGTGTCGAACCTCCTGGGGCCTGATTTAATAGCTCCGCCTCCCCACCCCCTCCTCCTGGGCTAGTCAGAATCCGCCTTGATCGACAGCTGGAAAGGGGGGTTGGAAGGCTCTGGGCTATGCGGTGGGTGTTTTTTTTTTTTTCTAAAGTTCATATTTGTTATTTGGAAATCTGTGATTCATGCTCATAAATGGGTGTGTGTGCAAGGGAGAGACAGGCATTGAATGGCTTCGATTTTACTTTCAGGACTGGAAGATGCCAGCAAGCACCGTTTGCCACTCTCAAAGTAAGAGACTTGCAGCCTTTCTGAGTGGAGTCCAGGTGACTCCACCGTGAGGCTGCACACTGCTCGGCCCTTTCACGATTTACAGAGCCCTTTCATAGGCATTATCTAGAGCTTTGTCTGAGAAACTAAAGTTAGCACTTGGAGTATCTTTGCCTTGAGTTTTAAGTCGCAAGACAGGGTCATGTACTAAGTTGGTACAAAAGTAATTGCGATTTTTGGCACTAAAAGTAATGGCAAAAACCGCAATTACTTTTGCACCAACCTAATAAATACCAGCTCTGAAAAGCGGACTCCCGGTTCTGAAATAGCAGCGCGGAGACTGTCCCTGGCCGGGACCTCTGTGTGGGGGTCCACAAGAACCAATGAAGCACAGAGAGACAGTCTCCCTACCCTGATCTGCAGTTGGAATGCTCAAGGATTCCATTCCAGAAGGAAATGAGTAACATCCCCGATTTAGGGATCAACGTATTATTAAAATAGCCACCCTAAACAAGCAATGGTTACAATGCGGCTTCAGTGTCAGGGAAAGGCACATGGTGGCCGGGGCTGGGTTCTGCTGACTCAGTGTGTGCTTTTGGCAACTTGTCTCCCCTCCTCTGGGCCTCAGTTTTCTTCTCTGTAATGTGGGAATTATAACCGCCTCACAATGTTGTTATAAACATGTAATGTGATTCTTTTTTTTAGTTGCTTATCGAAGAGTCTGGACCATGGAGGCACTCAATAAATGACAATGCTTTAGTAACCATCCTCGATGCTTATGTGTTTTCCAAACAGCATCTCAAATACTTTTATTTTTTTATTTTCTACTAATTGCCTTCAACACAGCTCTTTTTAAAAATCACTCTTTGCAATGATGCAATGCCATATGGGTCACATCCTATGGCATCTATTTACCTCCGGTTATTGGAACGGTGTTTTTACACTATGCCAGGCTTAGCTCCTCCCATTTAAAGCCACAGTCTCCTACCCTCCCCTGCCTATCTGGTTGGCCTATCCTTCAGTGAGGAGGAGACGTGGTCTGCTAGTTCCCTTTGCTTCCCCTCTCTCTTCAGGGTCTAGAAGCTCTGAGAGAGGAGAAATATTTTCCCAAGAACTTCTTCCAACCGTGCTGGCAGCAAAGCAGGTCTGCAATTTTCCACAGTTACATGGCACCTGGCCAGGGGAGACTTAATTCCCCGTTGTTTCAAACACCCCCAATCTTTAATCTTCACTTGGCTTAAGGTGGAGAAATCTTATTTTTTCCCATGTAAACCACACTAGACCCTCGATATCCCAAATATTTTGGACTCCAGATATTCCCTCCTGTGCCTGTCCTCCCCATAGCCTGCATTATAGACTGTTGTCTGAGAAGAGGTTACCTGGGAGGAGTAGATTCAACTGGCCTCCACCAGGAGTTTGTGGTCCACTCTGGAGGGCTCTTTGGAGGTTCCTTCTAGGTCCATAGAGCAGAAGTTCTCAAACTGCGGCCTGCATCACTGGTTGCCATGTCCAATGTTTCTGACGCAGTAAGTCTAGGCTAGAGTTCAAGATTTTGCATTTCTGACAAGTTCTCAGGTGAGGTTGATGCTGATGGTCCCAGGACTCACTTTGAGAACCGCTGTGCCAGAGAATGTCAATTTCTTCACAGTTCTTTTTGGCCTCACTTTTGGGCATGAGGAAAATTCCCACTCAGCATCCTTTTAGGTTGACAATGCTGCATGGCCAATAGTTTTAGTCCAGTTTTATAGATGAGGACATTGAATTTTGAAGAGATTAAGTGATTCGTCCAGAGTTGCATAACTAATAAGCGAGACTCAGATTTGCCTGACTCCAAACCCCTGACCCTTCTAATCCATTGTGTATTTTCATGGACGGAAAGGGATTCCAGCAGGAGGCAAAGTAGTATTCACTTCTGCGGGCAGAGGAGACCCGAGCCCGGTTAATCAAAATCCTTCCCCGACTCTGTGCCCATCCACAATTGATTGATCAGGGGTCACACCTGACCTGGGGAAACTCCTGTTTCTTCCTCATCAATTGTGTAGACTGGGTTGGAAAGAGAAATCTCTTTAGTCCCTGGACTGGAACATGTAAAATTCAGGAGCTCTTGGCCATCCTTTTCTGTCCTATAGACCTATGGACAGAGTACTGATCTACAGCTAAAGAGGCACGAACCCACACTCTGTGGAAAAAGTCACCAATCCATGCAGGCTCCCCCATGCTCCAATCCTGGCTCCAGTCCATACATCCGTGGCCTTTCTGCTCTTGGCTTCCATGAAATGGCCTAATGACGTTCTAATAACCTTCTCCTACTTCTAACCCCTTTTAGCTTTCCCATAGCTGCTTTGAAGTAGTTCTCCTATTACCCGCAGCCTGTAGCTTCTTTACTCACATAGTATATATTGTGCTCATATTCCACACATCTTTATAGTTTGGCATTCTGTTTGAAAGATCCGTAATATCCTAGAAAAATTATAATGACTGCTTTATTAGTTATTTTTGGCAGAAAAGAACATGGCAGCCAGATTTATTTTTATTTATTTTGGGTTTCCCATCCTTGGAAGAAATGATGAGCATGTTGTAAATGTGTATGTGGGGGAGGAGGGCGCCGGTTCGCCAGTGTTGTGCACACAGCCATAGACCAGACCACACTTAGAGCTGTGCCTAGGCAGAGCCTGACTGTGCCTGCTGCCAAGTCCCTTGAGTCCTGGTCTGCCGGATAATGCTCTCAGGTGTGCCCTAAAAGTCTGGGAACATGACATTCCCTCCTCTAAAATCCTCCCTGCATTTGAAAGCTCTGAGCAGCACAAGTATACTCCCAAAGTAAATTCCTTCCCACAAAAAACCAAAATAACACCATCAATCAACTGGTCTTGTTGTTCTTTTTAAAAAGCTCATGTCCAAGTTGGTGGGATTAGCACTGTGTTATTGCCCCATTCAGAGCCACCCACAGAGTCTTCCTTAGGCCCCCTGGCTGCTCAGGAAGCCATGACTCAGCTGGGGAAGCCAACTGAGTGGCGAGGTCTTTTAAGGGTAATTTAGCTGAATGTAGAAGCACTGATTTATTCTTTTTCCTCCCCCAGATAATGAACACTATGCCTAAGTGCTCCTGAGCTAGTGACAGAACTGTGAGTATCCTGCGCCTTCTCTACCCTTGCCTCCCAGACTGCCTCCTGAAACACATCTGCACATAGCTGATGAACATTGTTTTCAGAGGTCCCTATTTCCCTCTTCCTGATTCCCCTCTAGGCTTGCTCCGGTATCCTGTGAGAACCACCAGTACCAGATGGAGCCTGAATAGTCACAGGTCAAGTTTAGATTGGAAGAAGGGAATGAGCTGGAATAATAACTGCCTAGCACAGAGTAGGAGATATCATTAGTTGCTGGGCACGTGTGTGTGTGTGTGTGTGTGTGTGTGTATGTGTGTGAGAGATAAGTGGTGAAGTCAAGCAGATGAAGGTGTGGCAGGGCCACTGCATATAGCTGTGCAGGCCCTATCCTGCACAACTCCAGGAGGCACCATCCACATAAACTATGGTAAAAATGACACCCTCCAGGCTATACCATGGGCCATCTTTATCCAGTTTCTCCTTATCTACTTTGATTAAATTTATTCTTATGTCCCTGGTAAGAAAATGAAAGAAAATATTTTAAAAAATGATTAACCACGGTAAGACTTTCCACTTTATGATAAGCCAACAAGAAAATAATGCATAGATGAGCCAGCCATACTGAGAGAGTTGGTGGTGTGCTGGAGCCCATCTTGTAAGAGCCAATTCTTAGTATCTCTACCCATCTACGTGTTCAGTGCTTTCATGCTGGTAACTTGAAATCGGCCATGGTGGGTTCTGCACCACAGAAATTGGCCTCCCAGCTGTCTCTGTAAGAGGCAATTGTTTATCCTTTGCACAGCACACTGTTGGGCATTAGCCACCTCTTGCCCTAAGTTTCCAATTTCTGTCAGGGACTAGGGTTACTTTAAAATATCTTTATTTTCATAATTGCTCTCCTTTGCTTTGTATACCCCATAAAACCTGCCCTTGTCATACCATGGACTCACCTGGGACCCAGCACTACGGCAACTCTGATCCATAAGTCAAACACATGAACTCTCTGTCCACCTTAAGCACATAATCAAGTGACATTTGGCAGGTAGACAGTATTCTAGAAATGTTTGCAGGGGGTTGGTTATCTCATAATCCTTCAAGCTTTATAATTGACTAAAACTTTGTAAACCTGAAAATGTTTACCCATAAAGACCAGTTTAACTTTTCTAAAATTCTTCAACTCTATGAAAGTAAAAGTATGTTACTTGTGTTTTGGAATAACTAAAAAGTCACCGATTCTGGTAATATTTGATCCACATTAGCTCTAACAGTATACCTTGATGTTTTTAATTCTTAAACTGATATCTCTTTCTGTTTGGTATGTAAGCATTTTCCCTGGAGTCATCCATAGAAGGAGGCTCTTATCTTTGCTACTGGATTTAGATATTTTGTTTTTTTTCTTCAGTTTATTGTCAATGTGGTAAGCCATAATTGTACTGGTAATAAGCATTTACATGACAATTTGCAAATATTAATGAGTAAATCTAGATGACCTGCCTTTAAGATGCTTAAAAAGAAAAGAAGGAAGCAGTTTAAAATGTCTCTTAATATCATAACCTTATGTTCTTTACCAAGAATTGGGGGGGAAAGGCATTTCCAATGACCTGTACCAAATTCACTCATCAGTTGGTCATGAACATGTGTAGTTTCCCAGAATAAAGAGGAAAATTCTCAGAGCAATATATTGTGTCAAACTTTTCTTCCCCTCTTACAAGCATTTATTAAGTTAGATTATAAAATATTATTTAAAGTGGTTAATATGATTCAGAAATTGAAAACATGTTTCTCCATGAGAAAATAAATTGTCATGTAATTTGTTGAGTGTACTATTTGCCAGGCACAGTGCTATGCTGCAATCCACATGCATTCCCTCGTTTGGTTCTTACATGAACGTTGTGAGGGCAGTAGTGCCTCCTGCACAGATGAGGGATTTGAGTCTCCAAGAGGTCAGCTAGCTACTTCCCAAATGTCCCGCAGTGAATCGGTGTCCTTCTTTAGTATTCATGCAAGTTCCATAATACATATTTATGTCATATGTATTAATCATACCATGGCCCCATGTAATTGTAAAATCATATATGGCAATAGATTAATATAATCCCAAGGTAGAAGACGAACAGAAAAAAATATTCTTTTTAATATCAAAAGCAGAACAAATTTTGGTCTTTGTGGAGTACTGAATTTTTCACTTGAGAAACCAGAAAAAAAAATCCAATTTTTTTCTAGTTTGTGAACTTCTATTGGATGCTTTTCCTAGCAGTTGTCTTCAAGAATGGGCAAGAAAATAACAAGTTGAGCGTACACCATCACTCAAACTCTATAGGAACTCCTTGCGTAAGAGTCACATTGTCTGGGGGAGGGCAGGTGCTTACTAAAGAAAAAAAAAGCTTTCTTCACAAAACAGTAATAATCAGGATTCTTAAAGTATCTGGAAATATAACAAACACTGCAATCAATGAAGATGTGTTTGGATTCAACTGTCAAACTTCCTGAAGATGAAAAAAATGGTATGTCTTCAGTAATAACAATATCTGAATCATACAGTATACATCTGGCAGACATTCTTTCCCAAATGACCCAGCTAATCCAAGTGCATCTCTTCTTAAAAGTACAAAGCAAAACCAAGTAAAAAGCCTATTAGGAAAAGAGAATAATTTTGCTGTCAGAAAATTCATACTGCTGCAAATCTCTTGGATTCAAGGCACAAAGTAATGAAAGTGAGCCTCCACTTCTACCACCTTTGAAGGGACTGTGAACAGGCAGGACCTCTCAGGATCTGATGTTGTGAAAGTTACTTTCAAAGGTTAACAACTGTTAGACACTTCTAAGGGGTCTACCCAGGAAAGCAGCTGGCCAAGGATAGCAGAGATTTTACTTAATATTGTCTTGGGTTCCTTTTCTAGTTTTTTTTTTTTTTTTTGAGACGGAGTCTCACTCTGTCTCCCAGGCTGGAGTGCAGTGGCGCGATCTTGGCTCACTGCCAGCTCCACCTCCCGGGTTTTATGCCATTCTCCTGCCTCAGCCTCCCAAGGAGCTGGGACTGCAGGCATGCACCACCTACGCCTGGCTAATTTTTTTTTGTATTTTTAGTAGAGATGGGGTTTCGCTGTGTTAGCCAGGATGGTCTTGAACTCCTGACCTTGTGATCCGCCCGCCTCGGCCTCCCAAAGTGCTGGGATTACAGGCATGAGCCACCACGCCCAGCCTCCTTTTCTAGTTTACTTCAGAGATCTCCGGTTTCTGTATCATGCAAAAATTTTATTTGTGTTTTGAAAGTGCAAAGTTAAGAAATAACAAGCATGGGAAAGAGTAGATAATTAAAGGTTAGAGTAAGAGAGACTTTTTCAGCCTATCTAGATGTAGCGCCTCCATTTGAATATAAGGAGACCAAGAGTTCTCAGCTTCGGGGATGGGCCCAGGTCACAGAACCCGTTGGTATAGAACTTGATTCTAGGTGTCTCCCCTCACAGAAAGCTTCTGTGTACCTTGCCTCTATAAAATAAAACATTGCACGTCAGAAATCGATAACAATTGCAAAGCTCCATCAAACAAGAACTTTGATAGCAATAGCTAAAAAATCAAGCTGATTAGGCAAAGCTGGCTTAAGTTTATATACTTTTCCTTCTTTTTTAAACTTTATTTTGTTACTCAAAGGTGTTTTACACACCTACGCAACACTGAAGAGAAAAGGTCAGAGCTCAGAGTACTTTACTGTTACTTAAACTACGATACCCCAGACATATTCTACAATTCAGTTTGTTTGTTTGTTTTTGTTTTTTTGAGACAGAGTCTCACTTTGTCGCTCAGGCTGGAGTGCAATGGCATGATCTCGGCTCACTGCAACCTTCGCCTCCTGGGTTCAAGCGATTCTCCTGCCTCAGCCTCCCGAGTAGCTGGGATTACAGACACATGCCACCACGCCTGGCTAATTTTTGTATTTTTAGTAGAGACATGTTTTGTCATATTGGCCAGGCTGGTCTTGAACTCCTGACCTCAGGTGATCCACCCACTTTGGCCTCCCAAAGTGCTGGGATTACAGGCGTGAGCCCTGTGCCCAGCCTCTACAATTCAGTTTTGATTCTCAGAATATGACTGAGGCTTCCGGCGTAACAAACATGAAATCTAATGAAAAGTTAGTTCACTTGGAAAACCTACACTTCAATAAACAATAATATATTGAAACATAGTTATACTTCTAAATTCCATATGCCCAATATTAGTAAAGGAACCAAATTTTACAACTATTATGTTTCTAACTAGAAAACACAATAGTTTTTACCATTTCATCATGTTTTCCACACTTCTCAAGATTGAAAATACAGATTTTCTTTGCCCTCATCCCTTGAACATTTCTGTATGTTTTAGGTGCTTAGTGGAAAGTGTTGAGGTATATCTTTATAGTGGAAAACAGCACTGTGAATATGTGGCACACCTTTACAGCTAATTTGTCCTGCTACACATTTAAACCAAGAAGTTCTATAAAATTTGGTCATATAAAGGAATCCTGGCCAAAAAAAAAAAAAGTGCAGGTGTATTTATTATTACAGATACAGTGAAGCCAAGATAGTTATGTAGCTTAAAGAGAATGCCTCCATCCTAAGGGCACAAAAGCAATGAACATAGCAGTGCATTTTTCCCCGTAAACCCTTTACCAAATGTCCATTAAAATGCATGCCGAATGCCATAAGTCCATTCCGTTCTTGCCCTATAATTAACAATTTATCCAGTTATTTTTCAACAACAAACATCTTTATAAACGTCCGATACAGAGAACTGGGATTATTGAAAGCAAGTTCTGACAATTCCATATTCTTATCTTATGCCGCATAAATGCAGGTCATCAAAATCCTCAACAGAAGCATGTTTTCCCTTAAGGTAAGCATCTGGAGCTGGCAGCCCAGAGAAAAATCCTGAACTTCATTGGCCTCAAAGATCCTGTGTTCATTCCACATATCCTGAATTTTACTGCTGTCACATTAACTCTGCCTCAGCCCTCTGAGTATAGGAGTGCTTTTGAAAATAACATCAACTTTGCCAATAGAAAGAAGACTGCAGTCAGTGCCCAACACCCCAGAAACCTTATTAGGTAGGTTCCCCGATGCTGCAAGGTGCAAAACAATGCATTGCCACACAGATGAAAAATTGCTGCCATTTGAACAGTGCTTTAGGAGTTTACAGGGCAGTTTTACATTACTTAGGTGCTTTAATGCTCATCTCCTCCTCTACACAGCCTCAGCTGAGCCTTGGTGCTGGGCCATTGCCCTCGGGTCTAGCTGGAACCTCTTTGCCTCAATGCTTCTCAAGGTCTACCTAGTCACCCTGCCAGATTCTGATGATGGCTGGATATTCTTGATTTATTTTACTCTTGGCTCCTGTCTGAGGTGGAGTTCTCCAGGACACAGACACTGAGATGAAAGTAGGTGTGAGAGAGGTTTACTGGGGAAGAATACCTGTGAAAAGAAAAGGATGGAAGCAGGATGGGGCAGGTGGGGCTGTCACAGTATTGGGCACGTCTCCACCAGCCTTGAAGCATCTTCAAGCAAAGATTGAAATTTCCTGAGGGGCAGAACTGGAATTGGACAGCCCCTTGCATCATTATGACATATCATATAATCTATGTTTCAGACTTAATTAAAACATAAAGGGATATATCTTTTTGATAATGCTACAAGTTACCTTTCCCCACAATAGCTACTTCTTTTCAGGCTTTTTCCTCATGCATTGGTCGGGAATCACCTGCAAAGGATCTGCCCCTGGCTATCCCCGCCTTGCTGGGTCATTGACCAGGGACACCTGAGAATAGCAAGGCCTCAGCTGTCAGGTAACTACAATGCTGGTGGCTGAGCAGCTGGGACAGAACCAGGTCAATGCGTCTCCATGTCTACCTCGGCTCCCAGCCTCTAGATCTTTTTGAGAAAGTCACTTTTCACCCAGATTTGATGGGAGCTTGCAAGTAAACCTGGAAACAGAGGTAGGCTAGTTAAGCTTAGGTATCTACATCTTTTTAACAAAAAATTAAAGAGCAATAAGGTGAAGTGACATGCCCCAAAGCATACAAACTTGTAAGGGGCAGAACCAGAATAAAATAAGATAGAGCTGCGGAGCTACTTACTACACAGTTTCCTTTATAAAACAATATTTGCCAGCTGTTATCAAGGCTGTTGACAATGTGCCTGGCTCTAGGCTACAAGCATTATATATAGGCATATCATTTAATCTTCACAATCACAGTGAGATAATATTCATAATCTCTATGTCACTGATGAGAAAATGGACTCTTGCAGAGGATAAAGGATTTTTCCCCAAGTACATAGCCAGTCGTGAGAGAAATAAGACTTGGACCCAAGTGTGGCCCCAGCACCTGTCACCTTTAATAGCATGTTATCCTTCCTCACCATGACCATCATAGCTGTGCTTGTGTATTTCAAATGTAAGTGCCCAATTACCTGGATATTGTTTCAGAGCATGTTCTTTTGGCTTCTGTCAAATGTAACATTTCGAGGGCTAGCAGTCCAGGAAACTGTTTGTATACTACAAAACACTAAATGAAGGAAAATGGCCACCTTCTATTTTAAGAAAGATAGCTCAGTTAAACACACCTTAAGTTTGCAGCAAAAAGCACACATTCACATCTTTCTAGACACCAAAAAAATGATGAAAATAAGAAAACCATGTCAGAGATTCTTAAAGCACAAAATACTGTGTAGCATGTGAGCATGCCAGTTTCCTAATACCTGTTATACTGATGCAATAATAAAATATTGTTAGTTATAAGTAAATTGGATTCTCTTCAGCTTTTGCAGCCAAGATTGACCTCTTAAGCTAAAGGCTTGGTAGGCCTGAGACTTTAATAAACACTCACCGATGAATGTTCACATTCCTTAACAGTATTATTTTTCACATCAACCAGAAAGCACATCCAACAGTCACCAAATTTATTAACATCTTTTAATAGCAATCTGCATATGGTATAAAGGTGAAACAAGTGAACTTACAAAGATGCAGAATTCTGATCAACCACTTTCATAGAAAGATCTACATGTTCTTCAAGGTTGGTCTCACAGCAAAGCAGGCAATAGAAAAGAGGTATTTGCCAAGCATTGATAAGAAATCAACCCAAACTTAAAAATGGAGTAGACATTTCAGGGGTTTACTATATTAGCATGATCAGAAAAGTAAAGACTGAAATTATTGTGGGGAAAGGTAACTTGTAGCATTATCAAAAAGATATATCACTTTATGTTTTAATTAAATCTGAAACAGATTATATGACATCTCATAAGACTGTTAAAGGGTTACATTTGTGCTTTAAAGTGCAAGAAATAATTCTGACTGTTTAAAATGAATTCTCTCCTTTTTATGTTTTTACTAACTCTATCCTACAAAGTATGTATTTCTAAAATTAAGAACTCACAAATCCTCTTCTGGGTTCATTCTATACATATGTTTATTTCCCTTTAATTTGATGGGGCCAAGCTGTGGTGAAAACAGCTCTTCCTCCCCCAAAAAGGCAAAGATCAGCAGTAGGACCACACGGCAAAACTCTGGTAACAGCCAACAATATCACAGTGCCATTTAAGCAAAAGATTCCATCACGCTAAAGCGAGTAAAGCATTTTCTCTAAGGTGGATGCACAGATACCCCATTGTCCCTATAGTATACCATGGAGACCCTGCATAGGAGGACTCTGCGTGTGTTCCTTTTCATTTTAGGCACGATTCTAAAAAAGCAAGTCTCTGATTCCTGCTTACTGACACACCCAGACCCTTGCCCTGTACTCTAAGCATACGGTCTCTTCCATGAGCACTCAGTGAAGAGCTATGTTTAACTATTAGTCCGCACCATGGCATGAATAGTGAACCCCTTGAAGTTTGAGATTATGTCTAATTTCCCTATACATCATCTGAACATAGCTCCATTACTTGCATACACAGATTACAAAGAGTTCAATGAATGTTTGCTGACTGGGTGTGCTGGGAGCTAGTAAATTGAAAGGAGCTACAAAAGACAACGAGAAGGAGAATGTGATGTCATCAATCTGATGAAAATGGAAGGCAGAGGAAAACCATTAGAAGTGCTCACAAGAACTCTTTTCTTTAAAAGGAAACATGTCTAGTTAGAAATTTAGAAAACAGGTACATGTTAACTAAAAATAAATTGAAAGCTTACCCTCAATCCTGACACTTGGAGGTAATTTAGCGTGTTAGTAGTTGTTCCTCATGTTGGTATTTATGGTTTGGTCTTATTCTCTCTTTTTCTCTTGTGTTTTTATAATACTGAAAGAATATGTTGTACTTCATCCTTCTTCCCCTTATACTACATATTACAAGCATCTATTCATGTTATTACATAGTCTCCCATATCAATTTTTATGGATATATTTCACTACTAATTGTGACATAATTTAGTCAAAACCACCTCCTGTTTGGGGACACCATTCTAGGGAATTTTTACTTTTCCATTATTATGAAAACCGAGGTAGCTACTCTTATGGGTGGTGGTGTTATTTTTAATCATCATTGGCTGAGTCTATTTAATGAGAGATGGATAATTAGAGACACTGAAGGTATCCTTGTTATATAGATAAAGTCACGCACATAATAACAACCTGCATCCTACAAAAACAAAAATGATTACATTTATTTGGATTACTCATTCTTTTCTCCTTTGCTAGGCACTGGAAATACCTAGATGTTATCAAAAAGACAAAAGACAAAAGATAAGTATTGGTGAGGATGAGTGCTATGGTCAATCCTCATATTATACTCCATAATCAATAGAGGAAAACCATGTACTTCAAAAAGCTTTCTACTTATAAGTACTAAAGTGAAGAAAACCCTGGCTTACAACCCTGGGAGGATAAAAGAAGACATCGTGGCATCCGTGAACATATGACATGGGAAGGGGTGATACTGAGCCTCAGTGAGAAGAAAGAATCATGCACTAATGCCATGGAAAGTTACAATACTGAGTATTCTATCTTTCATGTTTCTTTCAGCTTTATTGATGTATACTCTAGAAACAAAAATTGTATAGATTTAAGTATACAATGTGAAGCTTGGATATGTGTACATATTGTGAAATAATTACCACATCAAGCAAATTAACACATCTATCTATCTCAAAAAAGTTTTTTTTCCTTCAGTGGTGAAGACACTTAAGATCAACTTTCTTAGCAAATTTCAAGTATGCAATATAGTATTGTTAACTCAAGATGCTGTGCTATACATTAGGCCTCCACAACTTATTCATCTCTAGTAATTGAATCTTTGTACCATTTGACCAATACCTCCATCACTTACCCCTTCTCCCACACCCTAGCAACCACAATTCTATTCTCTGCTTTTATAAGTTTGACTTTTTTAGATTCTACATATAAGTGAGATCATGTAGTATTTGTCTTTCTGTTTCTGGCTTATTTCACTTAGCATAATGTCCTCCAGGTTCATCCATGTTATTGCAAATGGCAAGATTCCCTTTTTTATTTCAAGGTTAATCAGTACACACACACACACAGAGTACCGCAATTTCTTTATCCATTCATCTACTTCTGGACACTTAGGTTGCCTCTGTATTTTGTAAATAATGCTGCCATGAACACAGGAGTGTAGGTATATCTTTGACATACTGATTTTATTTCCTTTGGATATATACCCAGAAGTGGGACTGCTGGGTCATGTGGTAGTTCTAGTTTTAATTTTGTGAGGAACCTCCATACTGTTTTCTATATTGACTATGCTAATTGATAGTCCCGCCAACAGTGTACTAGGGTTCCTTTTCCTCCACCTCTTCACCAATACTTATCTTTTGTCTTTGTCTTTTTGATAACCCCTATCTAACAGGAGTGGTTTTGATTTGTGTTTCTCTGATGATTAGTGATGTGGAGCACCTTTTTATATACCTGCTGACCATTTGCATATCTTCTTTTGAGGAATGTCTATTCAGGTCCTTAGCCAATTTTTAAATTGGGGTTATTTTATTTTATTTTTGCTACTGAGTTGTTTGATGTATACATATATATATATACATATACTACCATATATATATATGATATTAACTTCCTATCAGATATATAATTTGCTATTCTATCTTGCACAAATTGTATGGCTCATTGCAATTGGTTTGCACTTTCATCACATCTGATTAATAGTATCACTCAGTCTTCCCAGGATCAGATTATCCCAACTTCCGCATAGAAAACCTGAGTTTTATGCGCCTATGCTTGTTAACACTCTTCACCTTCTATCTGGCAGGAGTAATTGTAGATATTTATTTGCATATAAATAATAGTTGAAAGGAGTCTTACAGATACTCTGTATTTTCTCTATTTTAAAAAGCCTTTTTTTTTTTCTTTTTTGTAAAGGTTTAACAACACAAAGAGCCAATCTGTGATAATAAGACAGGCATTTCTTTATTCAGGAAAAAATGTATAGAAGACACAATTCGTCTCAAAGTGAAATAGAGATTTATGGTACATATTATAGAAAGTGAGGGTAAAAACAATGGCAAACATTACATGACTCATTCACTTTGAAACATCTTTCTTCCTACTTTTAATGCTATTAAGGGACTAGAATTGTATTCCTTTCCAGATCCTATCTAGGAGTTATAGGGGAAGCCATATCCTTGAAAAGAGACAGTGAATACATGAAAATCTGCTTTGTGTACATCTCTGGAATATTAATATTTGACACAGACAATGGATCTTTCTTCAAATTCAGATAAAATGCTATGCAAACAGAGCTTCCATACAAGTCTAAGAATAGCTCCCACCATAACCCCATCAGATTACCATCCTCAGTGTATTTTATATAGACTTGCTAGGGCTCTAACTGAAAACCAAAAATACTGGGGGAATCAAAAAATCTAGAACTATATTTTAAAGTTTTAATGGAGATAATTTCTATATAGAAATACAAATTGCCGGAATTAACACAAGAGATATTTTTAAATGTAGAGATGAATAAGAATAAAAGAAATCATTTTACAACTTAAATTGTCCCAGGAGGTAGCAGAAGAAGAAAACTTGCAGACAACTTTTACAACACTGCAATAATGCTGATAACAAAACTTAATATATACTGTCAGGTGAAGAAAGGTTACAGTACATCATATCCCTGATTGGGTGATTATTTTACTAGTATACAAAAAAGAAACATCAGAAAGAAAGATATATCATTGGGGTTCACATCTGAAATGTAAAGATATGCAGGATCTAACTCCAGAAATTCTGATTCAGTTGGTTCAGGATCTGACTCAGACACATGGGAGATGCTAATGTACAGCCATGTTGGAGACTACTGGGATAGTTGGTCTGATTCAAAGTCACGTTATATATTTTTTAAAGGCAAAGGATTATTTTAAAAATGAAATTATCACATAAAAATTAAATCATAGGGAAGCATTTGCTAACACATCATTAAAGCCCGAAAGTCTAAAAGAAAAAAAATTGCTCCATTTGACTATATAAAAATTGTTTTATTCGTCAAAGAAAAATCGCCATTGACAAAGATTTAGTAGCCCTGAAATATAAATATAAAAGATTCTTATGAATAAATCAGAGGAAGATCAAAATCCCAACTTATGTTGGAAAAAAATGAAGAGCAAAGAACCTGCAGTTGTATTTTATATTAAAATATACAAATGGTCATTAAATATACAAAAGTCTCTTACACACACACACACCAGTAGTAGAAGCAATGCAAAATAAAATAACAATAGGTAGCATTTTTTTTGAGACAGGAGTTTCGCTCTTGTCGTCCAGGCTGGAGTGCAATGGCACGATCTCAGCTCACTGAAACCTCCGCCTCCCAGGTTCAAGGGTTCTCCTGCCTCAGCCTCCTGAGTATCTGGGATTAGAGGAGCCCGCCACCATACTGAGCTATTTTTTGTATTTTTAGTAGAGACGGGGTTTCACCATGTTGGCCAGGCTGGTCTCGAACTCCTGACCTCAAGTGATCTTCCCAAAGTGCTGGGACTACAGGCGTGAGCCACCTCTCCTGGTCATAGGTAGCATTTTTAATGGAATAATGAAATTGTAAAGTAAAATGATTAAGAACATGGGCTTAAGGTTTGCAACTTCATTCTACCATTTACTAGCTACACGGTCCACAGGCAAGTTATTCAACTTCTCTGTTTTGTCATCAGTAAAAGGATTGTTGTAAGGATGAAATAAGTTTTCATATATGTAGTACCTATAACAGTACCCAGCCCACGGTAAGTGCCATTTAGCATTTTCTGTTGCTCACGCAAACGTTAAAAGCTTACTATTGTTGGCGAGAGTAAGGGGAAATATTCTCCTCGTGTGCTAGGGGTTAAACAAAGTCATACATTTATACTGAAGCACTAATTTATTCATTTATTTAATGATGATTTATTGGGTAACTTGCGTGCAACAGGGACTCCTCTGAACAGTGAGTAGTCCATAGTGAAGAGTGAACAAACAGATGAAGTACTTGATCTTATAATTTTTTTTTTTTTTTTTTTGAGACAAGGTCTCACTCCATCCCTCAGGCTGGAGTACAGTGGCATGATCTCGGCTCAGTGCAGCCTCGGCCTCCTGGGTTCAGGGAATTCTCCCACCTCAGCCTTCCAAGTAGCTTGGACTGCAGACACAAGTCACAATACCAGGCTAATATTTGGTGTTTTTGTAGAGAAAGGGTTTCACCATGTTGCCCAGGCTGGTCTGGAACTCCTGAGCCCAAGGTATCTCCAGCCACTTTATCCTCCCAAAGTTCTGGGATTACGGGGGTGAACCACCATGCTTATATTCTAATGGGTAGTAAGTAAATGTTTACATAGGTAATATAATAAAAGAATTATAAGGGTTATAAAGAAAAACAAAGAATAGGGAGATAGAGAGTGACAGAGGTAAAATGGTCAGGAAAGACTTTTCAAAGGATATGATATTTGAGCAGAAATTTGAAAAAAAAAAGAAATCCCTGAGAATGAGGAGGAGGCTTTCAGGCCCTGTGATGGGATGGGATCAAGAACTATTTTACTAGAGAGCACTTAGCAAGGCAAAGAGAAAGGAAATAAAGTTTGAGACGAAGGCACGGTTCAGAACATTCAGGGCCTTGTAGGACAGAGGATGGAATTCAGACCTTATTGGAAGTGTTGTGAAAAGTTTTGGAGGGTATCAGTTAGTGGTATGCTGGTAAATGTTTTAAAAACAGCTTTCCAGGGAAAAGAAAGTGATCTGTAGCATTTGCCAAACTCCATGGTGTGTATATCCTACCATGGCCAATTTCAGTATACTAAAGTGAAGTCACTGGAGGCGGAGTTAGTAAGAGATGAGCACCACTGGCTCTCTCCTACGTCAGCGCTGGCCAGCTCTAGTACATTGCAGCCACAAGAAAGTAAAAAGAGTTACATACTTTTTTTTTTTTGAGACAGAGTTTCACTCTGTCCGCCCAGGCTGGAGAGCAATGGCAAGATCTCGGCTCACTGCAACCTCCACCTCACAGGTTGGAGCAATTCTCCCACCTCAGCCTCCCAAGTAGCTGGGATTACAGGCATGCGCCACCACACCCAGCTAATTTTTGTATTTTTAGTAGAGACGGGGTTTCACCATGTTGGCCAGACTGCTCTCGAACTCCTGACCTCAAGTGATTCGCTCCTCTCGGCCTCCCAAAGTGCTGGGATTACAGGCGAGAGCCACCATGCCTGGCCTATACATTTTTTAAAGGATCATCATGAAAACAGGATGGATAACAGACCCTAAGGAAACAAAAGTAGAAGGAGAAAGGCCAGATAGACAGTGTGTTGTTAAGTAATACAGACAATAAATCAAAGTGACTCAGACTATGTTGGTAACACTGGAGAGTAATAAAAGCAAATGCCTACACAGTGTTTCTGAGGGCTAGACCCTGTTTTTAACCTTTTACATATTAACTCGTTTAATTCTCACAGCTTCCTATAAGTGAAATACTTTTATCCTCCTTATATAAATGAGGACACAAACATGGAGAAGTTACTAACTTGCTCAAAGCTAGAAAGAATGAAGGTGATTCGATGTCAATGACAGTTAACCCTTGAAGAACATGTGTTTGAACAACACAGATCCACTTGTATGTAGATTTCCCTCTGCTTCTGCCACTCCTGAAACAGTAAAAGCAACCCCCCACTTCCTCCTCCTCACCTACTCAGTGTAAAGACAAGGATGAAGACCTTCATGATGATCCACTTCCACTTAATGAAGAGTAAATATATTTTCTCTTTTTTATAATTTTCTTAATGACATTTTTTCTCTAGCTTACTTTTTTAAAGAATACAGTATGTGATGCATATAAAATACAAAATATGTGTTAATGAACTGTTTATGTTATCCATAAGGCTTCCAGTCAACAGGAGGCTATTAGTAGTGAAGTTTTGAGGAAGTAAAAAAAGTATACACGGACTATCAATTACAAGGGGTGTTGGCACCCCTAATACCCATGCTGTCCAAGGGTCAATTGTAATTTGATTGGCTCCACCGTATTGCCTTTCAGGTGTAGGCAACCAAGTGGCAACTGAACAGATACACCAATTATATCCACAAATTCAAGATGGGTTTTAAAGGTAGAGTCAATAGAATTTTCTAATGAATTGGGTAAACATTTAATCAGTTCAGTTCTTATTGTACTCCTATAGTTACAGTGCTATTGTTTTCATTTTCAAGATACTGCATTGGACTATGAGTTGAGGTACTTTATCCCCTATGGTGATAGGATTATACTCCTCTCTATCCCACTAATAACTATAAATTATTATTTTTGTATATTTGGGGTAAGTGTAATATGCACGGTATTTTTTCTAATATATGGGGAAAATAGTTACACTTTTCTATTTAACATTCTAGAAACAAGCATTGTGTTTTCAATTTTTCTTAATCCCACAATAAATAGTACTGAAACCTCCAAACTGAGGATCTTGGATATCAGTACATATTTGAATGCTTCTCATTTGGAATTTCTGAAAATCACCCAGACTACTGTTTCTCAAGCGAATTATGCATACAAATCACATGAAACTATTTTTAAAATGTGGTTTCTGATTCTGTAGGTCTGGAGACAGGAATTTCTGAATGGCTGGGTGATGAAGTTGAAAAACTGTTGCATAAAGCAGTGTTAAAACTGTAACAATTTGCCAAAAATTACTATTTAAAGACTTTGGGAATTGACCAAAGAACATATAACAAAATTTAGAAGCACTTATCTGAGAAAATCTACTGTGACATTTTAGCTAGGAATTTTTCCCATCTCTGCACCCCCACTCACCAATAGTATGGAGCAGAAGTTCCATCCAGACAGGCAGGACAGATCATAATGCCTGGAAGCTCTGCTCCCTGCTAGAGGAGAACTTGCAGCATTTGGAGCAGATAGTGGAAAATCCTCTTGTTGAAAACAAGAAAGCTACGAGTGGCAAACGTAACATAAACAGGGAAGGATAACATCAGCCTCAGGTCCGTCCTAGTTGGGAGATTTCACAGAACAGCAAAGCAGCCAGAAATGTAACAGGAAGATTTAGCTAAATGAGACGGACAAAAGGAACCCTGTTGAGATCCCACTTACACCTGGTCATCTGGAAGCCTATACACATGCACAAAGCTGTGTGTCCCTGCTTAGGAGAAACCACAGAAGGCTCTAGTGAGCTACCCACCACTGGCTTAAAATAAGACCTTGCAAATGCAGAACATATAAACCAAGGCATATTTGTAAGCTCCCTGGACTTTGAAAACATTCCCCAAGATGGCCCCAATTCTCCCTAACTTCCAGTATTCACATTCTTATGTGATTCCCTCCCTTGAGTATGGGCACGACTCGTGAATTGCTTCTAACAAATAGAGTATTGCAAAAATGACAGAATGTCACTTCCTGGATTATGTTACATAACATTTTAATGTCTATATTTCTAGGAAACTCTCTCCCTTTCTGGTTTTGATGGAATAAGTTTCTATATTGTACGCTGCCCTGTACAGAGGCCTGTGTGGCAAGGAACTGAGGAAGGCTTCTAGCTTATAGTTAGCAACAAACTGAGGCCATCAGTCTTGTAACCTACAAGGAACTGAATTCTGGTAACAACCATGTCAACTTAGAAGTGCATCTTTCACCAGCTGAGCCTTGAGGTGAGACTTCAGCCCTAGCCAATACATTGATGGCAACTTTATGAATTTCTGAAGCAGAAAATATAGCCAAGTCAAGTCCAAACCCCTGACTCACAGAAACTTTGAGATAATAAAAGAAAAAGAATGGATAGGCCACATAGGGGTAGGAGTGGTGGGGAACTGTGGAGTGGAGCCGCTCCCAGATACAAGATCTCCTGATCCTCAAGTGGCACCCTGTTGAGGATTTACCTTCCATCCATGGGGAAGTAGAAGCCAAGGGCGTATTCTATAGAGGAGGGCAACTACCTCTCAGCTTGAACTCAGGACTCTAATCATTCCTCAAGTCCTGGCATGTAACAGGGGCACTGTGGGGAACGAGCCATGCTCCCTTTAGGTTCATCAGCATTTAGCCAGGAAGAGTCACACATGACTGTGCTGGACCAAGGAAAGCCTGCAGTTTCATATTCTAGATGGTGTGTGTGTACACGTACTCATGCACACACCACAGGGTGAATTAAAAGGGCTCAGTCACAGAATAACTATGTTGATATCTGCTGAGAAAAGCAGTCTCGTGTACAGTCTTCTGACCCTCCTTGGCCACATAAGAATGGGCCATGAGCCTGGAACACTTCCTTACCAAGTGTGGGACTATTTTTCCCTGTTTCAGGCTCAATGAGTATCCCTTAGTTCTGCTTAAGTATGTATGTCAATGACCCTCAGGCATGTCTCCAGTTTTCTGTATTTCATATTCCTTGGGGTAGGGGTCAGAGTCCTTCTGTTGTGATGGGAGAGGAGTGTGTTTAGGTAAATTGCCCTACTTGGATGCCAGGGGTTGTGGGGTGGGAACCCTCTGGCCACGGAGGACTGACATGCCATTGAAGCTGATCTGGCTCTGTCTCTTCTCTGTGTAAGTAAAGCGTTGTCCCATCTGGTGCTTGACTGCTTTGTTTTCCTTGGCAACGTCAGTACCAAAATGCAATGGACAGAAGTGTTTGGATGTTTATTCCTGGTGGTTGGCATAGTGTTGATGATCTTCGCTATTCTCCATGTATTTGGAGTCTTTCCCTGGGACTGGTAACTGTTTCACAGTGCACTGTTCCATGATATCGTTTGTTTACTGATCCCAGTAGTCAGGGACAATACCTCTTCATTTTAGTTGGAATTCATTTGTTCAGGAAATGTTTGGGTAGCTGGCTGGTTGCGGCAGACATGTTGTGGTATAGCTTCACGCGTAAACTCAGAAGTCTCTCCCTGGCTAGCCTGTGCCACTGCCCATGGTTTAGAGCCAGGTTTGGGACTAGTACAAGCCATGAAGCACCCAGGGTGTGCAATTTAAGGAGGTGCTTGCTCTCACGTTGTGCAGGTGCTAGCGCCTCACTTGCCTCACCCTAGTCCCACCCTGATTAGTGTAGAATTTCCCAAGAGAACAATAACCCTTCAAATCATTCCAAGAAAAAAATAAGTCCTTTCAGCAAATAAATTTAAGAAATGTTACACAAATTATACACCATTAAGAAACTTACTTGTCGGCCGGGCGCGGTGGCTCACGCCTGTAATCCCAGCACTTTGGGAGGCCGAGGCGGGTGGATCACGAGGTCAGGAGATCGAGACCATCCTGGCTAACAAGGTGAAACCCCGTCTCTACTAAAAATACAAAAAATTAGCCGGGCGCGGTGGCGGGCGCCTGTAGTCCCAGCTACTCGGGAGGCTGAGGCAGGAGAATGGCGTGAACCCGGGAAGCGGAGCTTGCAGTGAGCCGAGATTGCGCCACTGCAGTCCGCAGTCCGGCCTGGGCGACAGAGCGAGACTCCGTCTCAAAAAAAAAAAAAAAAAAAAAAAAAAAAAAAAAAAAAAAAAGAAACTTACTTGTCAAAACTCTCTATTTAAACTTTAAGAAGTCTAAAAATGAAAGAAACCTGCTTAACTTTGCCTAAGCCAGCCCTTTCCAAAATTTTGGCTGATTTTTTTGTTTTTGTTTTTTTGCAAAGAATTTGTATTGAAATCCATTAAGTACACTCTGGGAAGTGCTAGGTTTCAGTTATGTTAATATGGCTTTAAGAATCATCAAACAAATGCCTCCCAGAATCTAACTGGTGTGCTGCCGATTTGGATAATTTCCACTTAACTATTTATGAAATCATGTAAAAGAGGCTTCCTTCCATTATTCCAGGGTCACTCACTCAGAAGTCTCATTCCCTTAGATGCTGTCACACCACTATGATTAGCATATTTCTTTAACTCTCATTATAGGTGTCTCTGTGTAATGAACATTCATTCTCACTGGATTCCATCAATGCTGAACAACTCCAAACCTACCCCCAATTCGGCTTTCAGACTGGCTTTGATCAGCATTTTTATTCATGATGAAATAAATAAGTTGACTTTACGATGAGCAAACTTGCCAATGACATGGATTAGGGAGAAACCAAAGAGCCAATTCATTTGACTCTTGGTTATAATCTTCTGAGGTGCAAAAGTAGCCGAATCTAATGAAGGAAATAAAACCATAATCAACACAAAGCTGTGCTATTGGTTCCAGAACAAATAAACCTATGAAACAAGAAGAGTAGAATCAGAATCGATATGCATAAAATATAGGGAAGTCTAAATATGGCTGAACATATAGGAATCTTTCTAAGAATATAGTGAAAACACACCATAAGGAACCAGGGAATCTTCTATCAATAGAAGTGTTCAAGCAAAATATTGTCTGCTGGGCGAATAACATGAGGCAAAGGATAATGAGTGAATAGGATCTTAAAGGATAAACTATAAGAAGAAAGAAAGGTAGTCTAGTGTAAAGCATGACCATCAGTGGGGCAGGCAGAAACCCCTTTAATCATCATTATACATGAATACAAAAGAGGAATCAAGAAGAAAAACTAGTGAATAAACAAAGTTCTATGATTGCTGACAGGATTAGAGGGAAGGTGCCCTTCCTCAATTTAATTGCAATATTGATTTCCATTAGCAGGCATGCATGCAAGTAGGACGGAAGCTGAAAAGGCACAGTTCACAGAGATGCCTTGTGTGTACACTTAGGGGACTAACTGTGCATAATTTATCTGAGGAGGCTTTTTTTTGGAATGGTTCTAAGAGTTGCTGTTGAAATTCCCACTCCCTCCCTCCCTCCCTCCCTCCCTCCCTTCCTTCCTTCCTTCCCTCCTTCCCTCCTTTCTTTCTTTCTTTCTTTCTTTCTTTCTTTCTTTCTTTCTTTCTTTCTTTCTTTCTTTCTTTCCTTCCTTCCTTCCTTCCTTCTTTTTTCTCTTTCTTTCTTTCTTTCTCTCTTTCTTTCTTTCTTCTTTTTTTCTTTCTTTTGCCTGTGAATCAAATCTAAAGTCTCCAGCAGAGTTTCTTTGTGATGAACTCCTCTCCCTGACACTAGAGACACTGTCAATCTCTAGGAAATGGATCCAGACGCCAAATACTGGGCATGGAGCTCATGCCCATGGTATGGTAATCAAGGGAAGAATTGGAATTGCACAAAGAGAGAAAAGGCCCTGCTTCACAAGCTCAATGACTTCTAAGAAGAGAAGGCAGACCTGTCATTCTCTATTGCCAGGATGTCTAGAACAGGAGAAATGGTGTTTGGTGGTGGAAGAGACTGGGTTAAGCCAAGGGAGAATTTCTTTATTAAAAAAAAACAAAAACTGATACTGCCCCATGTTCCTGGGTGCCTTAGGTATAAATTTTGAGGTTATCTGGATGAAATGCAGACCATCTCTTAGGGATTAATTTCTTGAAGTTTGCACATTCCTTCAGCATTGTTTGTGACATGATAGGATTCCAGCTCAAGGGCTCTAACAAAGTAGGTAATTCCAACATAATCCCCTTTCTTTAAATGAACTTCTAGAGATGATGCTGTGTCCCCTGAGATCACATGAGATGCAGCTTAAACCATTCCTCATCTGGAAAGAGTGGAATAAATAAAATAAATCATAACTGTTTGCATTTCTTTCCAAACAGAAGATTCCGTAAGATGGTGTATAAGAGGTTTTAACCAGGAAGTGTGAGGAAGAGAAGCCATAAATCACAAGCACAGTCTATGCACCAGGGTCCTGAATAACCTCAGCCTTGTCCTCTGAATGCCTGGAATTCAATAGCACACTGTGTGTGTGTGTGTGTGTGTGCATGCACGTGTGTGTGTCTGTGTGTGTTGAAGATGGAGGATAGGAAGACAGATAATGGGAGCATCCCTAATATGGTTTGGCTGTATCCCCACCCAAATCTCATCTTGAATTGTAGCTCCCATAATCCCCATGTGTTGTTGGAGGAACCCAGTGGGAGGTAATTGAATCATGAGGGTGGTCTTTCCTGTGGGGTTCTCATGATAGTGAATAAGTCTCATGAGATCTGATGGTTTTATAAAAGGGAGCTCCCCTGCACACGCTCTCTTGCCTGCCACCATGTAAGACCTGCCTTTGCTCCTCCTTCACCTTCCACCATGATTGTGAGGCCTCCCGAACCATGTGGAACTGAGTCCATTAAACCTTTCTTTCCTTTATAAATTACCCAGTCTCAGATATGTCTTTATAGCAGCATGAGAAAGGAATAATACAAAAACTCAAAATTCTTACATACTTCTTTTGCTGGGAGGAAGGCACGGGGGAAGAGGAAGGGCTGGACCTTCTAGGTAAGCATCAATGTACATATTGCAGGATGATCCTGATGTGTGTGATGGTGTTATAACTGGAAGCAGAAAGGATGTAGCATAGAACTGTGGCCCTGTGGAGCAGGGTTGGCTACCTACAAGTTATGGGCAGCTCAGGCAGTTGAGTTGTAGTGAGAATCTCAGAGGATCTGGTCTCAACAGGATAATCTGCAGTTCTAGGAGGCCTGTGTCTTCAGGGGTGTTTCTGTGTGCAATCCTTGGGGGATTCTATTGCCATGCTTTCCCAGAAACATTCTATCTATTGAATAAAAAAGAAAGTGGGGGTTCCCTTAAGGAGCAAGCAAAATGTCCCTCAATATACTTGGTCAGGGATACCCTGGAAAACTCTTAACTGCACCTTGTGGTGTTGTCCAGGATAGCAACATCTACTGAACTTCCTTTTTGCAAAAGGAGATAACAGTAAGGTGTGTGTGTATGTGTGTGTGTGTGTGTATATATATATATAAATAAATATATATAAATATATGTAAATATATATAAATAAATATAAATATAAAATATATATAAATATATATAAATAAATATATAAAAAATATATATAAATATATATTAATATATATAAATATATATATAAATATATATATTTAATGTACACATGTAAAATCACATTTTGCTTGTAACTTTTCTCTCCAAAAGGATTATCCATTCTTTTTGGCAAGGAGAGTGATATATTTTTTTGGAAAGAAAAGTTACATGTAAAATGAATAAAATTACTACCAGACATAAAAAAGTAGCTGCCTTTGTTTCCCATGGAATATTCCTGGCTCATGTAAAAATCTATTTTGAGGTGTCTGTGACCATGCCCTAACATCATCTGCAATCCTGAGTTTTCTCTCTGTTTATTAAATGTTCATGGCTCTTAAGAGAGCCAGGGCATACAGAAAAGTTAAAAGTGTGCACTTGTTCAAAAATGGATTTGAAAGAGAGGAAGAAATTCCAAAACTAATGATCATCAGTATGATTTTGCTTTTGGGTACAAGAGCCTGAATTATTGTCTGTCCTTGAAACCGACACTTAAGTGTTTATTAGCCTGGGCGGGTGCATGTTCCCTGACTAAGATGTTTCTTGAATGCCAAGGACTAGAGTAGCCTGTGCACAATCCAATCTTCCCTCATTATTCCTAGAAGATCCTTACAGTCACCTCAAGAGCTCTTGTTTTTCTCAGCCCAGCAGCTCTGATTTCCTTATTCTGTCACCAGTCAGATCTCTTCCCTGAAGTGACAGAGTCGGGGCAAGCTGTGAGGCATGTTGATAAAAGGGTGCGTTCCTATTTGAGCAGACAGGATGAAGGTGATGAAATAGAAAGGCATCCTTTCTGCTGCTCTGAATACCAAGCAGGAAGTCAGAGAGGATCAAAGGCAAATGAAGTCCACAGGATTTATGACAGGTGTGCTCAGGAGAATAGCAATCAGGAGGAGGAGATTTCTTACTCAGGGCAGCAATGGTGGTGGCAGCAGCACTGGGTCAACAATGAAAATGAAGAAAAACCCAGAATGAACACTGCTAGGTGGAACAATGGAGGCGATAAATATGTTCTTATTAGCAAAAGTGACCTTAAAAGAATTTGAATTGAATATACATGAGAATGAGTTCTTGGTGGTGGGATGGGGAAAAGAGAAATAAACCATAGACTCTCTCCATAGAAATAAAGTATACCAGTGCTGTTGGTATGAAGGAAGATGAAGAGGCACAGGCTCCTGACTTCAGTTCTGATGAGGAAATCCTAGAAACATTACCAGGATTTCCATTTCTTTCTTGGTTTGCAACCTAAGACACTAGGATGAGTTTGAAAATATCTTAATTTCTCCATAGAATCACATAATCTATGTCCTGTTTGAGGTTTGAACGTTCCTGTGTATTTTGGGGGTGGGCATGTTTCACTCGTAGAAAAGATTCTTCAGTAAAAACACCAATTTGCAAACCTCATATCAAATAGCGAACACCACAGCGCCAGTCATGAATAAGAATTCCTGCTCTAGGCCTTTACTCCGATCAATAATTGTGAAGGGTCTGAGATTTTATCCTACTTGAAAGCTAACAAATTAGCCTGCACAGTTTCATGGATGTTGGTAGAAAACACAAGACTCCTGGGTCAGAGACAAAAGACTATTTAACTCACAGCACAGCAAGCATCATCATCAGCAGCATTATTTGCATCAGTTTCCCTTGTCCACCAAGTCCCATGGGGCAGTGCAAACAAGACCAGATAGCTTCATGCACATAAGGTGCCCTTATCACAGGAAAGAAACCCTGAGCTGAAGATATCTAAATTTTTTATAATGAGGCGTAAGCATGTGTGTCCTTTGCTTGCAAAAAGTTACTATCTCTTTCTTCTAAGGCTGAACAAACATCCTTTCAATGATAGTACAAAATGAAGACACTCAATGTTTCTTCTCACAAGATGTGCAAAAATGCAAAATACCCATGCAAGATTGTCTTCCAGCAGGTCTTATGTCCAAACTTTACAGAAATTACTTCCCATTCCTGGATCTTATATTTTCATATCTTTAAAGGTATTAAACTGGATCAAATTCAAGGTCATTTCGTGGCAACAAAAACAAAATGATTATTTCTTTTTTTAAAGACCAACCTTGTGAAGATTCTGCTCTTCAAGGTCTTACAATCTCAGGTCACGCTTACCTTCAAATGATCACTGCTGGTTGGCATTTTAAACACAGGCACACACCAATTCAAAGTATCAGTACCTCCACAAGAGTGATGTTTCATTTCTAATTTTTTGTGGGAAAGCCCAGTAAAGTGGAAGGTAATATTGGGAGGAAAACTGAGCTGTGATTGAAGCAACACATATATCTTATTTCTTCTACCATCTCAGATTAATTGTAAATGCATTTTCTTTAATCCAAATACATGGAAAATAGACTGTGAGTGTAATCTCTGTTGAAAATTTCCTTACTTTTAATCTTTTCCCCTCACTCTCATTGTGAACTTGTTCTGGGAGTGAAATAATTTGTTGAAATAGAAACTTTGCAAGAGAAAGTTTGCTGATTCCTGCAAAAGAAGCCAGGTCATTAGGCAAAGACCTAATGCATCTGCTACCAGTGGCCTTGGTAACCTGCCAGTGTAAACCACAAAGTGCTCATGATGGTAGTGGCTTTCTGATACCTGTGATCTGGACAGCCATGCTAGTCTGCTGACACTGGATTCAGAAGGGTCACCTTTCATGTCTGGGTTTCCCCGACAACGTCAAAAATGCCACTGTTCCAGCTTTCAATTCCATAGAACCCTTGTCTATTAGGGTTTCAAAGCTCCATGAAAATCATTCATATTGGCAGGGCGCAGTGGATCACGCCTCTAATCCCAGCGCATTGGGAGGCCGAGGCAGGTGGATCACCTGAGGTCAGGAGTTCAAGACCAGCCTGGCCAACATGGTGAAACCTCATCTCTACTAAAAATACAAAAATTAACTGGATGTGGTGGCAGGCACCTGTAATCCCAGCTAATCTGGAGACTGAGGCAGAAGAATTGCTTGAACCTGGGAGACTGAGGCAGGAGAAGTTGCAGTGAGATGAAATTGCACCACTGCACTCCAGCCTGTGCAACAAGAGCAAAAAAACAAGAGCAAAAAAGGTGTCACACCTTTCCCCAAGGGAAGATTAGCAGAAGTTTACCTAGAAGCAAGCACTGAGGCCTCTGAGTATATAACATTGCCAGAACAGCTCTGTCCTATATCATTCTCGAGCTGGGCTCAGATACACCAACCCATGAGGCCTGGGTTAATTTTTTGCCTAGCTCAGTATTGGTGTGGATGGGTTGTGCCCCGGCCATCATTTTACTACCTACCATCCAATTATAGCTGTCTTCTATCTTTTCTCTATGTTTACTCTACTCTTATAACAGGTTTCTGCCTGTCATCCTCACAATGGGTACCAGATATCACCTTCTTCCTACATGCCTGCCAGAGCCAACATATACAGATACGCAGATTTTGAACTTCAGAATTCAGCAAGGCACCTTCAGACAGACTACTCACAGAGTTTTACGGTGCCCAATCTACACAACCACACCTGGTAGCGTTCCTGGCCTTTGTGAAACAATTTACATGGCTTTGTGCATATAATGCTCACAACAATCCCATTAAGGTAGGCATTATTATCTAAATTCTCACAAGAGAACACTAAGCACAGAGAGGTTACATTCCCCAACGATTCACAGCTACTACATAACCAAGCTAAGAGATATGTCTGGACAACTGCATCTGAGGCTTTCAAAAATTTTTAAAGCCAAATCAGCTTTTGCTCAGTGAAGCGTAAGCAAAAACACAACTAAAACAGAACAAAGTTGAGCAGCTTCCCTCTGATTTGTCCCATCTTCTCTTCCTTCCCCAGGCCCACTAAGGATTCCCAAGGGCTCTTAAATGATCCTTGGTTGCTGACTTTTTCTGGGCTAGACAGAGGAATCCACTGAACCCTTGTAAGGTTATTGTTACAAGGGTATTTGTACAGCTCTTGATAATCTCCTTTCTATACAGTCTAGAGCTTTCTACCTTCTCCCTACAATCAATGCTTCACGTCTCCCAGTTGCTGGCTGCACCTGTTCAATAGACTCTTTTTGTTGAGTTTCACTGAAGCCAAGATAAATGTGCTTCTTTGTTACCATCATCTCATTACAAATCAGACAGAATTCTCCAAGCCCCTTTGAACATGAACATCTGGAATACAGCCTACTTTCCATGCCTGGAGAGGAGCCTTTGAGGATACAGATCCCTCTAACTCCAGGCATTTGGGGACCCAACTACATCTCTCTTTGCACCCTCTCTTCTTGCTTAAATCTAAATAAGCCTCTTGGTCAAAAGCAGAGCCATAGTGCATCAGCACCAAGCTCCTCACTAAGAGAAGGCCTTTTTACTAATTCACAGAGCTCACTTAATGGTGAGGCTGGTTTTAGCCCTTGCAAAGTACATAAGGCATGGAAACATTTTCCCTTCACTTGGTTACCTCCTGACAACCCATAGACCCAAACAGTTCACTAGTCTGCCACTTCTCTGACTCTACAGGATGGGTTGGGTACCCCTCGGTAAACTCAGTCCTTCTCGCATCATAGCATTTAACTCTCTGTCTTGTGGCTCTCTGCGTATTTGTTCCTCCCCAACTAGACTCCCAACTCCAGGAGAAAATGGACTTTATCTTCTTTGTTCAACACTCTACCCATGCCCCTTGCACTGAACCTGACATATAGTAGGTGCTCATTAAAGATCAGTTGAGTGAATGAATTATTGTGAATTATTGGGTTACAAAGTACTAGTTAATGATTTATATTTCTAGTGGTAATAATAACTATGTATTTAGATTGGATTTATTTTTAATTTTTAAACTTGTATTAAGTCTGGGAAGATAATTTTAACTCTCCTCTCAAAAATGTAAGTAACATTTGTTCTTTATTGTTGGGAATAATAATATAAATGGGTTTGAATTCAGTTTGCAATTCAAATAATTGACCATCTGTCTGTATCTGGTTGTAATTTTGAATTTGTCAACCATCTAAGCAGATTTGAATAATCCTTTAATGAATCTTTAATTTGCTTTAAAGAATGTGTTCTATTAAACTTATTCTATCATCCATTGTAAAAAGTTATTTAAATTTTGATGTAAATGTAATGTTTGTGCTTTGTTTAAACAGTCAACAGTCAACATTTCACTGTCTGAAAAACAAGTCTGACAGCAAGTATCTATTTTTATTATTATCAAAAGGTTTCTTTTTACTTTTAAAATATTGAACTTAAATACCAAAATTTTAATTAAATTTGGCAATGTGTACTTTTGCCTTGATGTCACATAATTTTATCTCCTCTAAAATTCCCCAAACTAAAACCCTAAGGTTTTCTTCCTCTACCAAATGTGACTGAGGTATAGAGTTTGAATCTCGGATTACAGTCTTTGTTCTTTGCAAAAGAACCACAGGTGCTATAGGTAGCCTCTTTGATCTCTTCAACTCACAGCCCCTACTTAGGTACCCATAGAGGGAAATATTTGAGAATTGAGTTTTGTCCACTTTGACTTCCCCTTGACAAACTGGTTCTCACATTATTTCCAGAGACAAATATTTTGAAAGTGAAGAACACAAGAGGTCACTAAATATTAGCTTTCAAAGACTTCTAGTCACATGATATTTGCTTGGGTTACCTCTTCTTGGAGTCTATATAAAGAATGATGTTTACTCTTGAACACTCTTCGGTGCTGAGGTGCTGCTGGGCAAAGAAATATGCAGAAAAGAATGTAAACATGGTTGGGGCTTGCTTGGTTTTGTAGATGCAGAAACTTTTGCTTGATTTAGGCAAGTCAGAACACTGAGAAGTAGAGAATGAGAAACACATAAGACTTTAAAGGCAAAAATGGTCTTACATAAAAATCAAAAGAGTAAAACATAACGAACATCTTCCTAACCCAGATTTTACACCAGGTCTGAGTTGATTTCTCACTACAACTTAAGAGTACAGCTACAACATTTTCTACTGGTCTAAAATAACTGAGAATTATTTAATTTACCTTATCCAACAAACATGAAGTGATAGGCCTAGTGAATCAGAGTTTTAAGTCAATTAAGTATAATTTGTAACTGTCAGAAATCTAAGTTAACCATTCAGCCCCTCTCCCTGAAAATATTATTGGATGAAGTTAAACTTGAATAGCTTCCAGTAACTGAATTGTCCCAGATTAGTTCAGTTAACACTGCACGTGTTAAATGCTTATAAACTTTTACCTAAGATTTTTCCAAGGTGGTATGTGCATTTTGCTGCCTTCCTTACACACAGCATTTAAAACATAAACTTAACCTTTTATGACAATTCAAGTCTAAATTGGTATTGTTCTACTGAAAGCAATATGTTAAGATCTCAAACAGTCCAGGCTCAGAGATTTCTCAGCTGTGTGATAGTTGACAAATTATTTAATTTTTCGATCCTCTGCTTTCTTCTTAGTAAAATGAGAAATATACTTACTTGCCTGACTGCCAAAATGTCTGTGAGGGCAGTGAGGCAGCAAATGTGAAGGAAATGTACAAACAAGGCAATATTTTGCAGATACGAGAGCAGGGAAGTATGGGGAGGAGCAGTTAGATGGAAAACTTTATTACAGATAATATTTTGACAAAATTTTCAACTGTTTTTCAACTTTCATTGCTCTATGTAGGATCGTTTTCTTGATAAAGTTACATTAATTTTGTTTAAAAATTATGCCTTTAATTAAAAGAAACTTTTCCATATGTTATTATACTTTTTCTCGTTTGTCAACAAACATATTTGTGTTTTTATCCTCTTCTTATAATTTTTTTCAAAGAACTCTTAACCTAATAAAAAGAATAACATATAATTCTCAAGAGATTTCTATGTGCTAGGTACTATTTTCATCCCCATATTATAGATGAGGAAACTGAGGTACGCAGCCATTAGGTAGCAAAAGTAATTTTCCCAAGAGCAGACAATACAGATGAGCTTCAAGGCAAGCAGCCCGCCTCAGAGCCTATGCGCTTCACCCTTAAACCATCTAACAATTCAAAATTCTGCCATTATCTTTACCATTTCCTTCATCCCGCTTTCCTTACATTTACTCTGCAGGTTTGGGGAAGCACTTGTGATGATTACCTAATTCATTGCATTTCATTCTGTCCTGATAAGAATGAAAACATTTAAGAATGTAACTTATCCTCTAAATGTATCTCATTGCTGTTATTTTCTATATAACATTTATAAAAATTTATAATCACTATCTTCTTTTATTCAGATCAAGAATATCTATTAAATCATTAAATAAAAGTTTGTTGAACAGTTTTTACAATTCTTCAGATTTCATCTACAATTAAAACCAAATTAATTAAATTGTACAAGATCATATCAGTGAACATGGATAATTTGATTTCCTCTTTTCCAATTTGGATGCCTTTTATTTCCTTCTCTTGCCTGATTGTTCTGGTGAGGATTCTAGTACTATGTTGAATAAGAATGGTGAAAAATAAGCATCTTTATCTTGTTCTAGTTCTCAAATGCTTTCAACTTTTCCCCATTAAGCATAATATTGGCTGTGGATTTATTGTATATTGCCTTTATTATATTGAAGTATGTTTCTTCTATACCTAGCTTGTTGAGGATTTTTATGGTGAAGGATGCTAAATTTTATTGAATGGTGGTTTCTGCATATATCAAAATGATCATACGGTATTTGTCCTTAATTCTGTTTATGTGATGGATCACATTTATTAATTTTCATATGTTGAACAATCCTTACATCCCTGGGATAATTCCCACATGATCACGGTGTATTATATTTTTGATATGCTGTTGGATTTAATTTGCTAGTATTTGGATGAGGATTTTGGGTCTATGTTCATCAGGGATATTGATCTGTAGTTCTGTGGTTTTTTGGATGTGGTGTCCTTGTCTGGGTTTGGTGTAGGGTGATACTAGTCTTGTGGAATGAGATAGGGAGAATTCTCTCTTCTTCAATTTCTTTGAATAGTTTCAAAAGGATTGGTATTATCTCTTATCTGTTTGTTTTGTAGAATTCAGCTGTGAATCCATCTGGTCCTGGGCTTTTATTTTGTTGGGAGATTTTTTTATTACTAATTCAATCTTGCTACTCAGTATTGGTCTGTGCAGGAGTTTTATTTCTTTCTGCTTCAATCTCAGGAGGTTGTATGTTTCCAGGAATGTATCCATTTCTGCTAGGTTTTCTAGTTTGTGAACACATAGTTGTTCATAATAGTCTCTGATGATCTTTTGTATTTCTGTCGTATGAGTTGTAATATTACCTTTTTCATCTCTGATTGTATTTATTGGATCTTCTCTTTTCTTTTCTTGGTTAGTCTGGCTAGTGGTTTATCAGTTTTGTTTATCTTTTCGAATGACCTCAACTTTTTGTTTCATTGATCTTTTGTACTGTTTTATAAATCTCTATTTCATTTAGTTCTGATCTGATCTTTGTCATTTCTTTTATTGTGCTAACTTTGGATTTGGTTTGTTCTTGTTTTCTAGATTCTTGAGGTTCAACATTAAGTCGTAAATTTGTGATCTTTCTACTTTTATGATGTAGGTATTGAATGGTATGAATTTACCTTTTAACACTGCTTTTGCTATATCACAGATCTGGGTATGTTAAGATCTCATTTTCATTCATTTTAGATATCTTCAAAATTTCCATCTTAATGATCTTATATCTAGACAACCCTAAACACTCTGCCAAAAAATACTTAGATTTCATAAATGAATTCAGCAAAGTTTCAATATACAAAATCAATGTACAGGAATCAGTAGCATTTTTATACACCAATAACAATCTAGTTGAGGACTGACTCAACAAAGCAATCCCATTTATAATAGCTACAATAAAAAATAGAATGTATTAACCAAGGATGCGAAAGATCTCTACAAGGAGCACTCCGAAACACTGATGAAAGAAGTTGTGGATGACACAAACTAATGGAAAAAGATCACATATTCATAAATTAGAAAAATCCATATCATTAAGATGACCATACTGCCCAAAGCAATCTAAAGATTTGACATAATTTCTATTGAATTGCCAACATAATTTTCACAGAATTAGAAAAAATTTCTAAAATTCATATTAGACCAAAACAAAGCCTGAACAGCCAAAGCAATTCAAGGAAGAAAAAAAAGTTCAAGGTATCACATTACCTGACTTCAAATTATACCACAAGGCTATAGTAGCCAAAACAGTACTGGCATAAAAACAGAAACATGTATCAGTGGAACAGACTAGAGAACCAGAAATAAAGCCACATATGTACAACCAACTGGTCTTGGACAAAGTAAACAAAAATATATGCTGGAGAAAGGACACCTTATTCAATAAATGATGCTGGGATAATTGGATAGCCACATATGGAAGAATGAAACTGGACTTGTACTTCTCACCATACACAAAAAATAATTCAAGATGGATTAAAGACCTAAAAGTAACACATGAAACTATAAAGACCATAGAAGAAAACCTAGGAAAAAAGTCTTCTGGACATTGGCCTAAGCAAATAATTTATTCAAAAGGAAACACAACCAAAAAAAAAAAAATAGACAGATGGGACTTAATTAAGCTAAAAAGCTTCTGCAGGGCAAAAGAAAAGAAATAATCAACAGAACAAACAACCTACAGATGAGGACAAATATTTGCAAACTAAGCATCCGACAAAGGGCTAATATCCAGGATCTACAAAGAACTCAAACAACTCAGCAAAAAACCCAAATAACTCCATGCAAATGTGGGCAAAAGACATTAACAGACATTTTTCAAAGAAAGATAAACAGCCAACAAACATATGAAAAAATGCTGAACATTACTAATCATCAGGGAAATGCAAATTAAAACCATAATGAGATATCATCTTACACCAGTCAGGCCATTATTAAAGGTCAAAAAACAATAGATGTTAGCAAGAATGTGGAGAAAAGAAAACTCTTATACGCTGTTGGTGGAAATGGAAATTACTACAACCTTAATGGAAAACAGTATAGAAATTTCTCAAGTAACTAAAAATAGAACTACCATTTGACCCAACAATTACACTACTGGCATCTACCCAAAGAGAAAGAAATCACTACAACAAAAAGATACCTGCATGCATATATTTATTGCAGCACTATTCACAATAGCAAAGTCATGAAATCAGACCAAGTGTCAATCAGCGGTTGACTGGATAAAGAAAATGTGTTACATCAAGGAATACTATTCAGTCATGAATAAGAATGAAATCAGGTCTTTTGCAGCAATATGTGTGGACATGGTGGCCATGATCTTAACTGAATAACTCAGAAACAGTGAGTCAAATGCTGCATGTTCTCACTTATAAGTGGAAGCTAAACAATGGGTGCAAATGGACCTACAGGGTGGAATAATAGACCTTGGAGACTCAGAAAGGTGGGACATTGGAAAATTACCTACTGGGTACAAAGTTCACTATTTGAGTTATGGGTACAGTAAAAGCCCAGACTTCACCACTACACAATAGATGCATGTAAGAAATCTGCGCTTATATCCCGATATATATAAAAATAAGAAATTAAAAGGTCAGGCGTGGTGGCTCATACTTGTAATCCCAGCACTTTGGGAGGCGGAGGCGGGAGGATCACTTGAGGTCAGGAGTTAAAGACCAGCCATGGTGAAACCCTGTCTCCACTAAAAATACAAAAAAATTAGCCAGGCCTGGTAGCGCGTGCCTGTAGTCCCAGCTACTTGAGAGGCTGAGGCAGGAGAATTGCTTGAACCTGGGAGGTGGAGGCTGCAGTGAGCCGAGATCGTGCCACTGCACTCTAGCCTGGGTGACAGAAAGACTGTGTCTCAAAAAAATAAATAAAATAAAATAAATATAACTTAGGTAAATTAAAACAAATGAGAAATGTTGAAAACATAACAATAAGTGGACACTCCATGTAAGTGAAGGCTTAAAAAAATAAATGAAAGGAAGAAAGAATCTCAATACTATTATCAGATAAGAAAAAGTAAACAAGTACATACAAGTACATTTTATAATGATAAGCTATTTAGTATATAGCACAAGTATGTTGAACATGAGTCTTTAAGTACCAAGTTACAAAAACATCACAATACTTGAGCCAATGTCTACAGGATATAAATAAAAAGAGAAATAAACAGAAAAAGCACTGGCTATGAAAGAGAAATAACACAATGATAGTGCATAGCAGACAATATAACTTTTTCTATGTCTCCATGAAAAATTTATAAAAACCGGCCATATTAGGGAACAGAAAATTATTAAAAGGAGAACTACAGAACAAATTATCTAAGTAATATAAAATTTGAATACAATTTTTAAGTGCAACAAAATATTTTGAACCATTAATTTTAAAAATTGATATTTATCTTAGGTTAATAAAAAACAAGAATGTTAAACCTCAGATTCCAAAATATCATGAAAATAAAAATGACAACACTAGAATATGACTAAATCTGTGTGGGGAGGCAAATTTTTATTAGACATTCACATTATTGAATAAGAATGTGAAAAAGTAAATGAACTAAATATCCAGCTCAATAAGAAAAAAAACAAAAAATAAATATAAGAAAAGGAGAAGGAAAAATCTAATTAAGATTAGGAGTACATAATAAATTAGATTTAAAAAAGTAAAAAGAATAAATCAATCCCAGAGTTGGCTCTATTTTCATTTATTTATTTTGCAAAGACAGAGTTTTGCTCTGTCACTCAGGCTAGAGTGCAGCGGTGCAATCACAGCTTACTGCAGCCTTGACCTCCTGGATTCAAGAGGTAATCCTGTCTCAGCCTCCCAAGTAGCTGGGACTACATGGCATGCCACCACATCTGGCTAATTTTTTTTATTTTTATTTTTTTAGAGACAGGATATTGCTATGTTGCCCAAGCTGGTCTTGAACTCCTCCTGCCTTGGCCTCTCAAAGCACTGGGATTACAGGTGTGAGCCACCATGCCCAGCTTGGTTCTATCTTTAGAACCAGATCAACTACCGACAAATCTAACTTGGAAAGAAAATCTACCATACAAATATAACACACACGTATATATTCAGCAGTGCGCATAAAAAAACAGCGACTAAACATAGATGATGTAGATGAAGTCTTTACTTATTGAAATTGACTCAAACGAGATAGAGATCTAAGTAGCATTTCTCAATCCTGGCTGCACATTAGAATTATGGAAGTAGGAGGAGGTTGGTTTAAAAATAAAAGCTTAACCAAACTAAACTAATGTACGCACATACCCCCAGATATTCTAATTTAACTGTTTATGTTGAGCTTCAGCATAAGGATTTTCGAAAGAAATCTCTAAGTGACTGCAATATGCCCCAAAACTTAAGATGATTTCTATAAGAAATTTCTTAAAGAAATTAAGAAAGCTGTCTAAGAGCTTTATATCCTAAAAAGCACCAGGCCCACTGATACAAATTCCTTTCACATTATTAAAGAAAAGGTTATGCTGATGCCATTTTAAATGTTTCATTGCAAAAGAAAAACATCCAAAATCATATTTGTAAGGCCAGCATAATAATCATACCAAATCATAGAAGGTCTGCATAAAAACTGAAGAAATAAAACTTGGTACAGTCTCACATCCTATCAAAGAATTGAGCAGAGCATTATAAGAAAAATATGCTACAGTGAAGAAAAGTTTGTACCAAGATGCAAGAATAGATTCTCAATAGGAAATCTATTAAAAGAACTCACCATATTGAAAGTTCAAGAAAAAGTCATAAATATCTCAACAGACATCAAGATGGCATTTAATGAGTTGATGGCCATGCACAATTTAAAATCAAATTAATCATTTTACTATGCAGCCATAAAAAATGATGAGTTCATGTCCTTTGCAGGGACATGGATGAAATTGGAAATCATCATTCTCAGCAAACTCTCGCAAGAACAAAAAACCAAACACCGCATATTCTCACTCATAGGTGGGAATTGAACAATGAGATCACATGGACACAGGAAGGGGAACATCACACTCTGGGGACTGTGGTGGGGTGGGGGGAGGGGGGAGGGATAGCATTGGAGATATACCTAATGCTAGATGACGAGTTAGTGGGTGCAGCGCACCAGCATGGCACATGTATACCTATGTAACTAACCTGCACATTGTGCACATGTACCCTAAAACTTAAACTATAATAATAATAAAAAAAGAAAAAAAAACAATAACAATCACTTTAAGCATAAAAAAATAAAGTTTTGTTTAAAATTAAAAAATTAATCATTTTATTTCAATAGATAGGTGAACACTTGCTCAACATGTTAAAAATATTATACATATTAAACCAAAGCCAGCCTTATGCTTAATTGTGAAATACCAGAAATATTTACATTAAAGGTACAAACTAGGTGAGGATTTCATCTAATACTACCGGTAAATGGTGGGGCTCCAATGTGAACACAGATCTGTTCTGTCTATTGTGGATAATGATTTCCAAGAAGAATCAAATCAATACATCAATCAATTCATCAATGATACTATTTTGTGAAAAGATAAATTAAAAACCAGTATTATATGTCTTTGTAACAAAACCCCAAAACCATGAAAACTTAGATTTGCATATTTATCTCATATTGATGTGTTTTTATATACACAGAAAAAAGTCTGAAAAATCACACACAAAGTTTTTACCATGATGAGAGAGAGGGGGAGCATTGCAAGGGAATATTAATTACTTTTTATTGTTTATAAAGTGTTTATATATTCTTTGAGGTCCCCCCACTTCCTGTCCCCAAGGGATGTGTATTACTTTCATAATCAGGAAAAATGACAAATTTCCAATATAGACAAAAAATTAAATGAGTCACATAGAAATATTAAGGCAATTATTACTTATGAAAATATTCCTATGGCACAAGTAGAAGCATGATTCCCCCACCAGTAAAGCCAAGAAAAATAATCTAAGGAGATGTTTTAATACTATTTAAAAATTCAAATAGTGGATACTTCTTTTGCAGACTCCTTTGAATAAAACAATACTTTCATCGAAATCTGTGTTCTCTTACGTTGATACGTTGATGAGTGTTTGAGAGATTATTTAAACGTTCTTTTCCCGGGAGAAAACCAAAGGCAAACTGTTGCCGTCCCGGCCCCCAGTCATCCCCTTCTGACCCCCTCCAGCCCAACTTCTGGTCTTCCTAACTCTTCCAGGAACACAGAAGCTGCTAGCTGGCAGGCCGAGGTTGAATTTGGCTCACAGTTGTATTTTGTTTGTCCTGCTGTAAATTACTGGTGTTAGTTGCCAATATTGGAGATTTGGGAAACTCCACAAGAAAATATCCAGTCTTCTTAAAAATCTGGAGACTCTGGTAGGGCTGACCCATAGTCTTGCCTGGGAATGGTCAGAGCCCCGGGCAAGTGCTGCTGGCTGCTTTACAGGAGGCCTCCAGCTCCTGGTGTCCTTGGTCCCCTGAAGGACTGCACCCTAGGGGAATGGATTTGTGCCTTACAAATCGTTACAAACCTTACAAACCTTTCAAAGCCTGCATCTAGCCCTCATCTGAAGTCATTAACCATTGACAAAGATGGATTGTGTCATCCTATTCGTGGAAATTTTTCATTTTATGAGAAAGCAAACCTATAAAAACATTTCTGCTCACATTTCAGGTACTAACCTGTCAAGAGATATACTGTTTTACCTGAAACAACACAAATCCCATAGTGGATGTGATCTTTTAAACAGTCACCTTTAGAAAATTCTGAGAAAGTAAAGCTTGCTTTTAAATCAAGTTGGGTTATAAGGCTTTTTCAATTAGAAAAACAGTCTAAGTAGTTTTTGGAGCCTTCTAGTCAACTCAGAACACCGTGCAATGCTGTCACCTTGTGGCTAAGTCCATGAAATAGCCCCAGCACCATTTCATGAAATCATGTTGCCATCTTGTGGGCTATTCTAAGACAGCATGACGTGTACTAAAGAGCTCAAAGGCCCGGAACTTAACTTGACTATGGAAATAGCCACCAAACGGTTCACAAGTGACACTAACAGTGGCTAATTATCTGTGGATAGCTGCAACATTACCAGTTCAATGTCTATGACGCCATAGAATCTTGGTGCTACAAACAAATGCAGATTTGTACCCAAGAGAGTTGAGAACCAGTTATCTTCGAGAATAAGAGAACGCAATCATGCATCTGAAATGGTTTGGATTAATGATTCTCGACTGTTTTTTGCTGGCTGCTTCAGAATCAACGGAGGTGCTTGTCAGAAACCCATGTCTTGGATTCCAGCTCAGAAACTCTGATTAAGTGTGTCTTGGGCTGATCTCCAATATCTGTATTTTTAAGAACCCATTTGGTGACTTGGTGAGCACTCTGATTCATGAACCTGGGTAACATGCCAGCTAGTGGCACTAGATTACATTCATCTGTGTGTTCAAAATTTGCTGAGTGTTTAGGTGCAGTGTGCTGAGTTAGTTTTGATTTCAAATTAAAGAGCCCTCATTGCTTCAAGATGTGCACTCTTAAATGAGGAGATACAAGCATGCAATTAAAGTAAGAAAGGCAATTTAGATTATGCGAGAGCGTCCAAAGGGTAGCAGAAGAGGGATCCCCACAAGTTTTCTCCAGTGAGAACACAGTGGCTTTCAAGGAACGTACTGTTGACCCTTGACAACACGGGTTTGAATTACATGGATCCACTTATCGGTGGATTTTTTTTTCACCTCTGCCACTCCTGAGACAATAAAACCAACCCCTCCTCTTCTTCCTTCTCCTCAGCCTACTCAATATGAAAATGAAGAGGATAATTTTTATAATGATCTACATCCACTTCCACTTAATGAACAGCAAATATATTTTCTCTTCCTTATGATTGTCTTAATAACATTTTTTTCTCTAACATACTTCATTGTAAGAATACAGTATGTAACACATACACAAAATATTTGTTAATCAACTGTATGTTATTGGTAAGGCTTTTGGTCAACAGTAGACTATTAGTATTTACATTTTTGAGGAATCAAAAATTATATGCAGATTTTCAACTGCAAGGGGTTTGGTGCCTCTAAACCCCTGCATCGTTCAAGAGTCAACTGTGTATAAAGAAAGATCCAGGTACTTGCAAGGCAGACATGTGGGAGTGGAAGGCAAATATCATTCTAAGTAAAGAAAATAAATGCAACATGGTACCAAGGCATGCAGGAGCATGCCATTTCTGAGAATCTATAAGGACTACTATGTTTTTGGCAAACAATAATGGAAACGACCCAAAGGAGCAAGGAACCACATCCATAGGCTTGTAGACCTTGCCAAAAAGTGGACATTTCATCATGTAAAGGAGCCACAGGGCATTTGCACAGAGAGAGACAATATCCAACTTGTGTTTACAATAAGTAAACACAATAATGTTTGTGTTTGGACTATTGGACATCGCTTTATTTTGCTTTGCAGATATTGTGTGTATGTGTGTGTGTGTTTTACAAATTAAAGGTTTGTTGGAACCCTGTATTGAGAAAGTTCATTGGCACCATTTTCTAACAGCATTTGCCCACTTCATGTCTTTGTGTCACATTTTGGCAATTCTCACAATATTTCAACCTACTTCATTATAATTGTATTCATTATGGTGATCTATGATCACTGACTTTTGATGTTACTATTGCAGTTGTTTTGAGATGCCACAAGCCATGCCCATAGAAGACAGCAAAGGTGATTGATGAATGGTGTGCATATTATGATGGGGGTTGTTGCCCCCTCTGTCTCCTTCTCCCCAGGCCTCCTACTTCCTTGAGACATAACAATATTGGAATTAGGCCAATTAAGTGTTTGAGGGAAAGGAAGAGTACTACATCTCTCACTATTTTCTTTTTAAGTTCTGGGGTACATGTGCAGGATGTGCAGGTTTGTTACATAGGTAAACGTGTTCCATGGTGGTTTGCTGCACCCATCAACCCATCACCTAGGTATTAAGCCGGGCATCCATTAGCTCTTTTTCTAATGCCATCCCCACCCCCTGCCCTCCCCTGACAGCCCCCAGTAAGTGTTGTTCCCCTCTCTGTGTCCATGTGTTCTCATTGCTCAGCTCCCTCTTATAAGTGAGAACATGTTGTGTTTGGTTTTCTGTTCCTGTGTTAGTTTGCTGAGGATAACAGCTTCCAGCTTCATCCATGTCCCAGTAAAGGACATGATCTTGTTCCTTTTCATGGCTGCATATTTTTCCATGAATTGATTAAGCTTACTAAGGAAGGCATGTCAAAAGCAGAGGTAGGCCAAAGGCTAGGTCTCTTGTATCGGTTAGCCAAGTTGTGAATGCAAAGGAAAAGTTGTTGGAGGAAATGAATAGTGCTATTCCAGTGAACACGTGAATGATAAAAAAGAAAACAGCCTTATTGCTGATATGGAAAACAAGCAGCCAGAGAAGTAAGAAGAAAACAGGATAGATGAAGTGGGAAGAGGACTTTAGAGAAGCAGGGGTTGCCAACAGCATCAAATGTTTCATAGTAGTCTACTCAGATGAGGAAGTGTTTGTAAGATTGCAGAGGTAACACCATGATTTAGCAAAAGCAGTTGTTAGTGGTGTTACTGGAAAGGGGTCCCAATCTAGACGGCAAGAGAGAGTTCTTGGACCTTGCTCATGAAAGAATTCCGCGAGTTCATAAAGTGAAAGCAAGTTTATTAGGAAACTAAAGAAATAAAAGAATGGCTACTCTATAAACAGAGCAGCTCTGAAGGCTGCTGGCTGGCTATTTTTATGATTATTTATTGATTGTATGCTAAACAAGGGGTGGCTTATTCATGAGTTTTCCCAGAAAGGGATGGGCAATTTCTGGAACTGAGGGCTCCTCCCCTTTTAAGACCATTTAGGGTAAGGTCCAAACATTGCCATGGCATTTGTAAGCTGCCATGGCACTGGTGGGAGTGTCTTTTAGCATGCTAATGCATTATAATTAGCATATAATGAGCAGCGAGGATAACCAGAGGTCACTTTCATCACCATCTTTGCTTTGGTGGGCTTTGGCTGGTTTCTTTACTGCAAACTGTTTTATTAGCAAGGTCTGATAAAAGTGACCTATATCTTGTGTTGACCTCCTATGTCATTCTGTGACTAAGACTGCCTAACTACCTGGGAATGCATCCCGGTAGGTCTCAGCCTCATTTTACCCAGCCCCTATTCAAGATGGAGTCACTCTGGTTCAAACACCTCTGACGGTGGCAGAATAAATAAGATAAAGAAATTGGGTACCAAACTAAGACTTCCAGAACACAAAAGCCAACAGCCAATATTTAGTTTTTAGATCCTCGCTCCAGTATTGGACCCTATTGTCTACTCCCTCCTTCATGGAAAAGAGATGAAAAGTTCAGAAAGGCAAATGAGGCAAAAAGAGAAGAGGCAAAGAGGAAAACCAGTGCAGAATAGTTTATGAAAAGGGCATAAAGTTAAAGGTTTCATGGATTGAGCATTTTGTATGTGTGTGTGAAATACACACTGGAAGTACAACTGTGTGCTCAGGGTGGGCGGGAAGAAGAGATGAAAGTTTGAAGAGAGCAACTGAAGGGCTCTGAAAGGGAACACGACAAGGGTTGTGGATTTTTAGGGTATTGAAACAGCCTTTGCAAAACTTATATCAGTGAGAAAATTATAACTGTAAGCTAAGCTAACCCACCCCCCATCTTGCCTTTTCCTGAACTGTTCCTGGGCTACAGGGCCAAGCTAACTTTGGAAGACATTTAGGCTTCATTTTAAATGATAATAGGCCTCGCCCAAAACTCTACTTCTTTTGTAAAACTAATAGGAGGCCTCCAGGCTGAGGGAAGGAGAGGAACCTGGGTCCTGCTAAAGTGCAGAAATTATTCAGAGGTTATAAGATATACAACTTCCTTCAATTACTCCTACAAATAACACCGCTATTGTAGATTGGCCTTTTGAGATCTCTTTCCAGGTTTTTTTGCATGTCTGACCCCTACGACTCCACCTGGACCCAATGGCTGCATCTGGACCGACAACCCCACTCCTGTGGCCTCACCCAGAAGCAATTCAGCCTGCAGGAGGACAGCATCAACCCCCTATGATTCCATCTCTGCCCCAATCAATCAGCAGTAAGCACCTGTTACCTGGCCATTCCCACCCCTTCTCCCAAACTGCCGTTAAAAAACCCCTAACCTACAAGCTTTGAACAACGTGATTTGAGTACGAACTCTATCTCCCATGTGGCATGGATGGCCTTTTGTCTACTAAACTCTTTCTCCACTATAATGTCATGGTCTTTCTTTATTCAGTGGACAGGAAGAAACCCCTGGGCAGTTACAGTATCAATCTGCACCAAGTTAATTTGCATAGTAGAGTTAAAAAACCCAAGCATTTTTTCTAGAAGAGGTAGGCTATTAACAAAATGGGTACTGAGCAATTAAGAGAATCCTGCTCAGTACTATGATCTTGGTCTTCACCCAGGTATAAAGAATCTCTGTGACATTGGCTATCTCTTGAACTTCATTTCATTATCTGTAAATTGAACCAAAAGCTTCCTCGGCTCCTTCTCAGCTCTAGCAAGCCTATATCTATAACTTGCTCAAAATCACACAGACATCTCAAGCTGTCTTCCCTCTCCCCCGGATAATTACTGTAGTTATTAATAGATATATAGTACCCTAATTAATTTCACAACCCTTTGAGGGAGGTACTATTATGATCCCACTTTATTGATAAGGAAAGCAAGGCTCATAAAGGTTATGAAAATTGCTCAAGTACACACAACTAGAAAGTGGTAGAGCAAGGTTTTAAACCCACGATAGCATGACCCCCAAGTACAGGTTTTTAACCATTGGTCTACACTACTTTCCTCTAGAAATGATGAAAGATGCCAAATAAAATGTTCAGAAGATCCTTTAAGAATTTGAGAATTTCATTCAGTTTGGAAATTGTTTCTCCAATAAATCCCACACCTCAAGTCTTGGTTTTAAAGCAGATCCAAGCTGAGGTCCCCAAATTTCTTAAAAATTAAGCCAGAAAAATTTAATGAATGGTTTTGTGCTTTTTCTAAGTTGACACAAACCTCCAGGGACCTATCAGCATATTTGAACTCCTGTAGTTGGAAATATAATAAAGAACGAACATCTGCATCTGTTACTAGTTAAAATCTTTCCTGTTATATCTACTTCCTGGAATGTGGCTGCAATTTCCTAAATGAGTCAGCTAAGTTGTATAATTTTTAGTTTCTTGGTAGATTCTCCTTCTCTGCCTCACTCCAAATCATGCTGGAGTGAGGTGTGATCAAGGAAAAATACAAGCATTCAAAAAGACCCCTTGAGATCATTCATGATAAAACCAGTAGCCCTCAAGCAGAAAGCTTTCCAAGTCCTCCAGAACATAGCGTGACATTGGCCAAATAACCATTTGTCCTAACCAAGTAGTATGCAAATGGAATTATAAGAGCTTGACTGGTCCCTCTGTCTGGGACCTGAACCGCTCCATCTTTGCCTATAGAGAGTTGTTGTGTCCTTTTCAGTACATCTCAAATGCTATCTTCTATGTGAAGTCTTTGCAGGTACTCTGAAACAATTGAATCTCCTGTTGAGCCCCTGTATCACTTACTTGTAAACATCCATTATGATGCTTATCGCTATTTGTGTCTGTGTCTTCTTTCTATTTATGAATAGGGTTTCATTTTCAAGAAGCATAAGGCAGGTTGGGACATTATCAGTCTGCAGGCCAGCTGCCAACTTGCCACCTGAGTCTACCTGCCACCTCTGCACATTGAGCTGGGTCAGCACATTCTAGACTCCGGTTCTTAGCCTCACAGACCCAGGAAATCAATTTTCTAAGTACTCCAGACCATATAGTTCTTAAGGATGCTTTCTGATGATAGCCAATTCCACCAAGTTTTAAAAGGTGAGCAGAATGGCAAGTTATGAACAAATTATACACTGGCATGCTCAGACACTAGTATGGTCAGAAGTCTGCATGAATCAGGGTAGAGATGAGATTTACTAGGTAAATTAACAAAATGTATTACTAGCATCAGCACAGGCTTTTCAAATGGAACCACTTCTACTGTAGGGCCTTATCTATTATAGGCAGAGACGACCCTTCTATGGGAAGAGTTAGGAGGTCAGTGTTGTTGAATTTCCTTGTCTGTGATGGCCATCTTTCTTCTGTCCATGTGTTCTTTCACCCAACAGAAGATGATACAGTGGATCAGGGCATTGCTTTCTATATTACCACCTGTCTCCTTTGCTAACGTATCATACTGATTCAGTGTCAAATGTTCTCAAACTCTTTGCCCCTATGGTCCTTAAATGATCTCTTGGTTTCCTCCCACAGCTGGTGTGAATCCCATCCACTGTGTGAGGATTTTACTAGTGTGACTCTCAGAGGACCCATAAGGTAAGGTCTCCACATTGTAGGTTTTCCTAAAAGCAAACAGGGTCTTAGTTCTTTTCGGGTTCATACCACAGTGCCTAGCTCAGAGTAAGCTCTCAAATATTCGAATTGACTTTAACTTGCCCATTCAGCTTTTGTATTTCATTCATGAAGCAACCTTGGCAGAAATTGCATGATATTGCAGAATGTTGGTGCCACTACTAAACTGGTACTATAGTAAATAATACATGTAACTCATCATTTAGTTCGCTGTCTTCAAACAAAACGACTGCTGATTTTTTTCAAAAGGAGGAAAAAAATTGCTGTGGTCACACTGGGTGAGTGATGCTGTTATTGAATAATGCTAAGAGAGTGGTTTTCAAAGTATGGTTCCCCAGAACAGCAGCATTCATTTCACCTGGGAACCAGTTAGAAGTGCAAAATCCTAAGTCCCTTTTCAGACTTAATAAATCAGGGTCTCTGGGAGCAGGGGGTCAGAAATCTATGGTTTAACAAACCCTCCGGGTGATGCAGGTACACACTCAAGTTGGAGAGCCACTGCCCTAATTTGTTCAGCACCTCACACTTGATTTTGATGGCTGTCACCTGCAGATAAGTAGGCACTTTAAATCTAAAGCCAGCTGAGCCCTATCACATGTCAGATGATAGGCAACCTTTATCAAGGCAGCCCCTATGATATGCCAGTCAGTTGACATGTATTTAGTACACTGCTGCATGCGAGAGTCACGTTAAATCAAAACAACATTTGGCTGATCTTGTAAATAAAGACAGCCCTGGTTATCACATACTGGGAAGTATCCTCAGCCAAAACAGCATTTGAATGATTAAGTCATTAAGAGCAAACCTGTTTGCGAGTTATAAATCCTGGTTTTAAAAACATCAGAAAAAAGAAATGATGGCAAAAGTATCACTGATGCTTCATAATGAGGTTAAGCATCCCAGGGTTAGAGATGAGAATCCATTTGTGGTTGGGCCTGGGAGGGACAATTAAGGACACATATTCTGGGTATCAGACTTTTACTAGCCTTGCTAAATCACAGCTCGTCCCGGTAGTGAGGGGATGGTGGAAGAGCTGCAAACCACACCTGTGAGAAATGAGGAGAAGAGTGAATCACTCGGGCTCCTATGGGCAATGCAGAAAGAACAAGAACTGAAGACTCTAGTCGTGTCCTTGCAATGCTTCTCAGATACCTTCTGCTTCTTTTTTTTTTTTTTTTTTTTTTTTTTTTTGAGCTGTCGCTCAGTCTGGAGTACAAAGGCACGATCTCGGCTCACTGAAACATCCACCTCTTGGGTTCAAGCAATTTCCCTGCCTCAGCCTCCCAAGTAGTTGGGATTACAGGCACGTGCCACCACACCTGACTAATTTTTGTATATTTAGTAGAGACGGGGTTGCGCCATGTTGTCCAGGCTGGTCTCAAATTCCAGACCTCAGGTGATCCTCCTGCCTTGGCCTCCCAAAGTGCTGGGATTACAGGTGTGAGCCACCGCGCCCAGTCTCTGCTGCTTCTTTGGATGACATTTCATAGCCTTCGGGGGTGACAAGTAGCAAAAAAAATCTTCTGGGCCAAATGCAGCACAGAAAACATTTTGATGAATGTGCAATTACTATTTGTCCAGAACAATCCTGTTTCATTTTATTTTTTATTTTAGATTGAAGGGGTGTATGCGCAGGTTTGTTACATGGATATAATGCATAATGATGAGATTTGGGCTTGGTGTGTACCCATCACCCAAATAGTTCACACGTACACAGCAGGTAATTTTTTTTGAGAAGGAGTCTCACTCTGTCACCCAGGCTGGAGTGCAGTGACTTGATCTCAGCTCACTGCAACCTCTGCCTCCCAGGTTCAAGCAATTCACCTCCCTCAGCCTCCCGAGCAGCTGGGACTACAGGCACGCGCCACCACGCCTGGCGGGTAAGTTTTTTAACCCTCATACCCACCCCATACTCCGACTTTTGGAGTCCCTGGTATCTATTACTTTGACCTTTATGTTCATGTGTACCCATTATTAGCTCCCACATAAAAGGAAGAACATGCTGTATTTGATTTTCTGTTTTCTGTTTTATTCTAATTAGGATAATGACCTCCAGTTCCATCTGGGTTGTTGCAAAGGACATGATTTCATTCATTTTTATGACTGAGTAGTATTCCATAGTGTATATATACCATGTTTTCTGTATCCAAGCAATCATTGACAGACACAGTTTGATTCCATGACTTTGCTATTGTGGATAGTGCTGCAATAAACATATGAGAGCAGGTAATTTTTTTTTTTTTTAAATAAGATGGAGTTTTGCTCTTGTTGCCCAGGCTGGAGTGCAATGTCGCGATCTCAGCTCACTGCAACCTCCACCTCCCAGGTTCAAGCAATTCTCCTGACTCAGCCTCCCGAGTAGCTGGGATTACAGGCATGCACCACCCCGCCTGGCTACTTTTGTGTTTTTAGTAGACATTACTGTTTATGTTAACATGTTTATTTATACAACTTGTTTCTCCATGTTGGTCAGGCTGGTCTCGAACTCCCGACCTCAGGTGATCCACCTGCCTTGGCCTCCCAAAGTTCTGGGAATACAGGCGTGAGCCACCGCGCCCGGCCGGTGAGTTTTTAATGTAATATTTTTTTTTCCCTTCAGATAGATGCCCAGTAGTGGGATTGCTGGGTCGAATGGTAGTTCTATTTTTAGTTCTTTGAGAAATCTCCATACTCTTTTCCATTAAGGTTATACTAATTTCCCTTCCTACCAACAGCGTATAAGTGTTCCCTTTTCTCCGCATCCTTGCCAACATCTGTTATTTTTTGACTTTTTAATAATAGCCATCTGATTTATGTAAGACGATTATCTCATTGTGGTTTTAATTTGCAATATGCAGATGATTAGTGAGGTTGAACATTTTCTTCATACTCATTTTGGCCACTTGTACATTTTGAGAAATTGTTCATGTCCTTTACCCACCTGTTAATTTATTTTTTCCTGTTGTTTCAGTTCCTTGTAGATCCTGGATATTAGTCCTTTATCGGAGGCATAATTTGCAAACATTTTTTCCCATTCTCTTCGTTGTCTGTTTACTGTGTTGATTATTTATTTTGCTGTGCAGAAGATTTTAGTTTAATTAAGCCCCATATGTCTGTCTGGGGTTTTGATTTTGAGGTCTTAGTTATAAATTCTTTACCTATGTCAATGTCCAGAAGAGTTTTTCCTAGGTTTTCTTGTAGGACCTTTATACATTATGGTCTTACATTTGAGTCTTTAATTCACCTTGAGTTAATTTTTGTATATGGTGAGAAATAGGGATCCAATTTCATGTTTCTGCATATGGCCAGCCAATTTTCCCAGCCCTGTTTATTGAACAGGGTGTCCTTTTCCCTTGGTGTTTTTTTGTTTTTTGTTTTTTGGCAACTTTGTTGAAGATCAGCTGGTTATGGGTGTGTGGCTTTATTTCTGGGTGCTCTACTCTGTTCCATTGGTTTATGTGTCTTTTTTTTATATCAGTATAATGCTGTTTTTGTTTTTGATAACTTTATTTTTAGCCTTGTAATATAATTTGAAGTCAGATAATGCGATGCCTCCAGCTTTGTTCTTTTTACTTAAAATTGCTTCAGCTATTCAGTGTCCTTTTTGGTTCCATATGAATTTAGGATTGCTTTTTTCTAATTCTGCAAATAATTATGTTGGTAATTTCATAGAAATTGTGTTGAATCTATAGACTGCTATGGGCAGTGTGGTCATTTTAACGATACTGATCTTCCAATTCATGAGCATGGGATGTTTTTCCATTTGTTTGTGTCAGCTATGATTTCTTTTTTCAGTGTTTTGTAGTTCTCCTGGTAGAGATCTTCCACCTTCTTGGTTAAATATATTCCTAGGTATGTTTTGTTAGTGTGTGTGTGTGTGTGTGTGTGTGTGTGTGGCTATTGTAATGGGATTGAGCTTTTGATTTGGGTCTCAGCTTGAATGTTATTGGTGTATAGAAATGCTACTGATTTTTGTATATAAATTTTGTATCCTGAAATTTTATGAAGTTGTTTATCAAGTCTAGGAATCTTTTGGAGAAGTCGTTTGAATTTTCTAGGTATATGAACATGTAATCAGTGCATACACATAATTTGACTTCCTCTTTTTTCAATTTGGATGTCTTTTATTTCTCTCTCTTGCCTGAATGCTCTGGCTAAGACTTCTGGTAATATGCTGAATTGGGGTTGTGAGAGCGGACATCTTTGTCTCATTCAAGTTCATAGCGGAGAATGCTTTCAACTTTTCTCTATTCGGTTGATAATGGCTATGGATTTTTCATATATGGCTTTTATTATTTTGAGTTTTATTCCTTTGATGCCTAGTTTGTTCCTGGTTCAATTTTGGGAGGTATATTTTCAGGAATTTATCCATTTTCTCTAGGTTTTCTAGTTTGTGGATGTAGGGATGTTCATTATGAACTCTGATTATCTTTTGCATTTCTATGGTATCAATTTCAATATCACCTTTATCATTTCTGATCATGCTTATTTGAATCATCTCTCCTTTTTTCTTAAACTGGCTAGTGTTTTATCAATTTTGTTTATCTTTGTAAAGAACCAGCTTTTTGTTTTGTTGATACTTTGTATCATCGTTTTTTGTTGTTGTTGTTGTTCATAATCCCCTTTAGTTCTGTCCTGATCTTTGTTATTTCTTTTCTTCTGCTAGCTTTGGGTTTGGTTTGTTCTTGTTTTTCTAGTTCCTTGAAGTGTAATGTTAGCTTGTTAATTTGATAACTTTATTTTTTGATGTAGGCATTTAACACTATAAACTTTTCTCTTAACACTGCTATTGCTATATCTGAGATGTTTTTGGTATGTTTTGTCTCTATTTTCATTTGTTTCAAAAATTTTTTGATTTCTGTCTTAATTTCATTGGTTACTCAAAAGTCATTCAGGACCAAGATGTTTAGTTTCCATGGACTTCTGTAGTTTTGAGAGTTCCTCTTGGTATTAATTTCTAATTTTATCCCACGGTCAGAGAAGATGTTTGACATAATTTTAATTTTTTAAATTTGTAGATATTTGTTTTATGGCCAAGCATGTGGTCTTTTTTGAGAATGTTCTTTTCACAGATGAGAAAAATGTATATGTTGTGAGTTTTGAATGGAATGTTCTGTACATGTCTATTAGGTCTATTTGTTCTAAAGTCTAGTTACAGTCCAGAGTTTCTTTGTTGGCTTTCTGTGTTATCAGTGGGGTGTTGAGGTCCCCTACTATTGTTGCATTGCTGTCAGTCTATTTTCTTAGGTCTTGTAGCATTTGTTTTATGAAATCTTCGTGCTCTAGTGTTAGGCACATATATATTTAGGATAGTTAAATCTTTTTGTTGCATTGAACCCTTTATCATTATATAATGCCCTTCTTTATCCTTTTTTTAAACTATTGTTGATTTAAAGTCTGGCTTATCTGATATAAGAATGGCTACTCCTGCTTGCTTTTGTTTTCCATTTGCATGATACATATTTTTCCATCCCTTTATTTGAGCTGGTACATGTCTTTAGCCAATAGGTGGCTCTCTTGTAAGCAGAAGATGATTGGCTCTTGTTTTTTTATTATTCAGTTGGCCAGTCTATATCTTTTATGTAGAGCATTTAGGCCTTTGATGTTCAATGTTAATATTGATGTGTGAGGTTTTGTTCCTATCATAGTCTTGTTAGCTGGTTGTCTTGAAGTCTCAGTTGTGTATTTGAGACTTCAAGGCAACTAGCTAACAAGGCTTTGTAGGATGTGTGTGCTTTCTACTTATGTGTGCTTTTACGATGTTGAGTATCATCTTTTCATGTGCATGTATAGAACTACTTTGAGCATTTCTTGTAGGTCTGGTCTAGTGGCAACGAATTCCTTTAGCATTTGCTTCTCTGGGACTTACTTTATTTCTCCTTTGTTTATGAAGCTTTGTTTGACAGGATATAAAATTCTTGGCTTAGACTTTTTTCTTAAAGGAGGCTAAAAGTTGGCCCCTAATCTCTTCTAGCTTGTAAGGTTTCTGAGAAGTCCACTGTTAGCCTGATGGGATTTCCGTTATAGGTGATTTGATGCTTCTCTCTAACTGCTTTTAAGATTTGCCCCTTCATATTAACCTTGGATAGTCTGGTGACTATATATTTTGATGATGTTTGTTTTGCATAGCATTTTCTAGCTGTTCTCTGAATTCCTTGTATCTGGATGTCTATGTCTCTAAAAAGATTGGGGACAGTTTCCTAAATTATTCCCTCAAATATATTTTCCAAACTTCTTACTTTTTCTTTTTCTTCCTAAGAATACCTATAGGTCATAGGTTTTGTTGCTTTACATAATCCCATATTTCTCAAAGGCTTTGTTCATTTTCCAAAAATTTCTTCTTTATTTTTATCTGACTTTGTTAATTTGAAATACTAGTCTTTGAGCTCTGAAATTCTTTCTTCTTCTTGGTCTTGTCTCTTGTTACAACTTTCAACTGTGTTCTGAAGTTCTTTTAGTCAATATTTCATTTCCAGGAGTTCTGGGGGTTTTGTTGTTGTTGCTGTTTTTAAATAAATCTACATCATCTTGTATCTCCTGGACTGTTTTTCTGTTTTCTTTGTGTTGATTTTCAACTTTCTCTGGGATATCATTGAGCTTCCTTACAATCTATATTTTGAATTCTTTATCTGTCATTTCAAAATTTTCATTCTGACTAGGATAATATTCTGTTTCTTGATGGTGTTGGAGTTCTTGTGTTTGTTTCTTCTCATTTGCAGAAACTGTCACTCCATTTTTTTTTTTTTTTTTTTTTTTTTTTTTGAGGGGGAATCTCTCTCTGTCACCCAGGCTGGAGTGCTGTGGTTCGATCTTGGCTCATTGCAACCTTCACCTCCTGGGTTCAAGTGATTCTCCTGCCTCAGCCTCCTGAGTAACTGGGATTAGAAGTGCATGCCACCATGCCTGGCTAATTTTTGTATTTTTAGTAGAGATAGGGTTTTACCGTGTTGGCCAAGCTGGTCTCGAACTCCTAACCTCAAGTGATCCACCAGCCTTGGCCTCCCAAAGTGTTGGGGTTACAGGCATGAGCCACTGTGCCCGACCCAAGCTGTCACTTCTTATTTTTGAATTTATTTTCGCTTGGATGGGATTTCCCACCCCGTCCTTGAGACTGTGGCTGTAGAGTGTGTTGGGCTGGGTCTTCCAGCTTTGCTTCTGTAAGTAGTTGAAATGGTCAGATGAAACCAGGGCATCTGTGCTGTTGGCCTTTCACTGGGGAAGGCAGAACTACTCAGCTGGAGCAATGGAGGCTGGCAGCCATGGGGTGGATAATCTGTACTTTCCTCCTGCAAGAGCAGTGGTGGATTTCACTGTTGGGGGCACACAAAGGTGCCTAGTTTTCTCTGCTCCCTCCCTGGCCCAGGGGGTGGCAGGGGCTCTTAGGGAGCTGAGTTCTCAGGAGAACGCCTGGTCATAACCAAAATGCACATGCAGGAGTAGACTGACCTGACACAGAAGGCAGGCCCTGTTTAGTGGGGATAGCTGAGGTAAGCAGTTGTGCAGTACAGCACTGTTTTAAATGTTGTTCTTGTGTAGTTATAATAGTTTTCCTTTTCCTTTGAAAAATGATCTAGTTTGACAATAAACTGTTTGATCACAGTATTACTTAAGTGTCCTCACTCTCTCTTCTCCTGCTTCTGTATTTCTTGCCTTGACTACTCATATGTTCCTGAAATCCATCTACTGAGAGGGGAGCATTACACAACTGAAACATCACTGCAGAGGTGTCATTTATATAAACATTATGTGAATGGTGTCACTGGAATTTTTTAGTTCACAATCTATACTCCCAGCTTTTGCATCTGTCTCGTTCACGAATCTCTAAATGATTTGCTTTCCCCAGGCTGATGAAGACTGGGGCTCAAAAAGACCCAATCTTGGAAATGTAATTTTATCTCCAAAATTAATCAGGACAACGCCTTATATTCATTCCCCCACTGCTCCTCACACTTGGCTTGATTCATTCCTCAGCCTAGTTTTTTGACTCGTAGCCCTTTAATAGAAGATCTAGGTTACCTTTGACACTTCCATCCTCTGCAAAGTACAATCTCTGTTATTAATCTCCTTGCTTCATGTGTGATTTGCGGGTCATCTGTCCTATGTGGCTCCAAGTGGTCTCCTAGAAAAGGAATAGAATACAGAATATGATAAACCTAGGACAGCAGTTAACCCAGTGACCATTCACTCTCCTGACCCTCCGGGAGATCAGATGTGCTAACACTTCATGATCCTGGAAAAGGCTGACTCATTTCTCTGGTACAATCTACCCTAACTTAAAATCCTTTAGAAAGTCCCTGGAACAAACATGATTCTCTCCAGACAACAGATCAGAGAAGCTTTAAGAACAATTCTAGCCTTTGTAATACTTAGGGAGCAGGGCAACCAAATGGCTTCATGGAAAGAGCCCTAAAATGGGAGTTATGGGATCTATGGAGACCACCTAAGAATGCACCTCTGAAAAATACAGCTTGGTAATCCACAACCTGATAACTGTGTCTTAGATTCCCTTGCTGGGGCTGCACAACAAACCCCTGAGAGAGACTAAAGCATACATTGCACTGTGAGTACAGCATGAATTCTGGTTGCCTTTGCCATGGGGAATGTCCTCCATTGACTAACCCAGGGTCCACATTGGGCTGACCTTCTTCAGCACAAGGTCATTTACCTATTCTACTCCATCTTCAGCCTGTTAGGAGGGCTGCTTTTTGTCTCTACTTGTCCTCTGTAGCCTTCCCATAAATCAAAGTTCTAGGATAGTATCATACACTCCAGACAGGGCAGGACAGGTCCTTCTACTTTCATTGTCCTTAACTTTCACTGTCCTTAACTTGAGCTCGCTGCATGTCCTACAGGACTGGCTCAACCTTGCTATCCTTACCAACCTCACCAAAACCCTTCTGCTAAGATCACCTCCTAATTGAAGAGTGAAAAGATTCTTTTCCATTTATACTATAGTTATACTTTTCAGCTTTAAATACCACTTAGTTTTGTTTTGTTTGCTTTTATTACTTTAATTTTTAAAACATTACATACTGTATTGTACTATACTTACAGAGAATTATGTATATACTTACACTTGCATAGATCAGTATGCATTGGTCTGTATTCATGACACAGAGGATATGGAACAATTCTAACACCCTGAATAATTCTCTTTTCCTGTCCCTTTGTATTCAGTCTCCCCCTTCCTAATCCTTAACAACCACTGACAAGTTTTCTGTCTTACATTTTTTTACTTTTCCATAATGTCATATAAATAGAATCATATAAAATGTAAGTTTTTGAGACTAGGTTCTTTTACTTAGCACACTGAGAATCAGGGACATTGGGCAATGTCTGGAGACCTTGTTAGTTAACTTGTCAGGGAAGAGTGTTACTGTCATCTAGTGGATAAAGTCCAAGGATGCAACAAAATAACCTACAGTGCACAGGATGCCCTACAAGTCATTCGGCCCAAAAAAGTCAAGAGCCCTGCTGTTGAGAAATCTTAATTTAGCACAATGTACTTGAGATTCATTCATATTGTTGTATGCTTCAATAGTTAATTTTATTGCTGAGTAGCATTCCATTGTGTGGATGTACGACAATTTATTTACCCATTTATCCCTGTAAAACATCTGGATTGTTTCCAAGTGTGAACAACTATAAATAATGCTGCTGTAAACCTGCATGCACAGGTTTTGAATGACATGTTTCCTTTCTCTAGGATACATACCCAGAAGTGTGATGTGTGGCTCACATGAGTGTATGTTAGCTTTTCAGAAACCATGAAATGGTTTCCAGAGCGGCTATAGTACGTCTGCATCTCCATCAGCAATGTTTATGGGTTCCTGTTGCTCTTCATTCTCAACAGAACTTTTGTCATACTCTGTTTTATACCAGGGTGTGACACTGCAGATCAAGGCAGAGAACAGCTCCAGCACCCTAGAAGCCCTCTTTGGGGCTCTTTCTATTACAGCTCTACACTCAAAGGTGAATAGCATCCTAACTTCTAATAGCAGAGATTCAGTGTAAATGTTTTGAACTGTATATAACCGAAATAATAAAATACAAGCTCTGCTTTTTCTGGCTTCTATCTGTCAATATTTTGTTTGTGAAATTCATCAATAGTATTGTGTGTAGTTTTGATCATTGATACTCATTAATGCACAGGGCTCGTTTGTGTGAGTATACCACATTTTAATTTTACATTCTCTTCCTGATGACTCTTTTGCCATTCTTTTTATTGAGTTTTAATTTTTATTCAATAAACCATACCCATTTTAAGTGTACAGTTCAATGAGCTATGACAAGTATATATACTGGTGGGAACACCACCACTATCAAGAGACAAGATACTTCATAACAACAAAAATATTTCCTCATTCCCTGCAGATACATCTACTCCCAGGCACATACTGATCAGCTTTCTTTATTTAGCTATAGCTTAGCTTGGTCATTTATAGAATTGCCTGTAAATAGAAACATATATTATATACTCTTTTGTGTCTGACTTCTCTGGCTGTGCCTGTGTTTCGGGTTTGTTTATGTTTTTGTGTGTATCAGCAATCTCTATTTTTATTTCTGAATAACATTTCAACTATATGAATGTAAAAATTTGTTTATTCACTTGCTGTTGGGCATTTTAATACTCCAGCTTTGGCTTATGATGCATAAACCATTAATTTATGAAAAATTATGTACAAGTCTTTGTGTGGACATGGATTTTCATTTCCTTGAGTAAATAAATAAGTATTAAATACTGGATCCTATGCTATATTTATGTTTAACTTTATAATAACTGCCAAAGTAATTTCCAAATTGGTTGATTTATTAGTCTGTTTTCATACTGCTATAAAGAACTTCCTGAAACTGGGTAATTTATAAATGAAAGAGGTTTAATTGACTCACAATTCCGTATGTCTGGGGAGACCTCAGGAAACGTACAATCATGGCAGAAGTTGAAGGGGAGGCAGGCACCTTCTTCACATGGTGGCAAGAGAGAGAATGAATGCAGGAGAAACTACCGAACAATTATAAAACCATCAGATCTTGAGAGAACGCATTCACTATCATGAGAACAGCATAGGGCTAACCGCCCCCATAATTCAATTACCTCTACCTGATCAATCCCTTGATGAGTGGGGATTATGGGGATTTTGAAGATTACAATTCAAGATGAGATTTTCGGTGAGGACACAGGCAAACCATATCAGTTGTACCATTTTGCATTCTCAATAGTTAAACCTAAGAGTCCTAGTTGTTTAACATCCTCACCAACAGTTTTTGGCAAGGTTTTGTTTGGTTTTTAATTTTAGCCATTCTAATTGATGTCCAATGGTATCTCATTAGGGTTAGAATTTGGTGGTTGTAGTGTTCTCTGTATGTCAGATTTTTTTATCCTTTATATCCGTTATTGATTTCTGTCTATTTATTTTATCAATTACCAAGAGAGAACTGTTAAAATCTCCAGCTATATTGTAGACACGGCTATTTTTCCTTTCTGTTATGTAAAGTTTGATTTATGTATTTTGAAGCTCTGCTGTTACACATATACATATCAGATTATTATGTTTTCATGATATCATGACTCTTTGATCATATGTGGTGTTCCTTTTCATTTCTGTTTGTTACCTTTTTCTGGAAGTTTTTAACCAATGTTAACATAGTCATTTCAACTTTCCTTTTTTTCCAATTCTTGCTCATTTTACTTTAATTTGGCGAGTATTCAACAATTATTAGTTGCATGCCTGACTCAGAACTGGGAACTAGGTACAGGGGCGATGTTAGCGAATAAAATAAAGACTTTTGCCCTTGTAACACTTACCTCCTTTCCAGAAAGACAAACAATGAACAGTCATCATAGTATTTCAGTAAATAATACATTGTGAGGTAATCAGCACTATAAAAAAATAACATAGAAAAGAATAAGAAGATTGAGAACACAGCAGGGAGGTGGTGATTTGTTTTTCACTTTTAAACAAAGGAATGACCATGATGGTCCTCACTAAGCGATGATATTTGAGAAAAGTTTTAAAGGAAGTGAGAGGGTGACCCATGGGAACTTTGGTTATGAGCCTTCTAGGCAGAGGAAACAGCTACTACAAAAGCCTTATGGCAGGGACATTCAACTTTCTTTTGATTGCTAGTTACATTGTATATGTCTTATTTCATATTTTGACTTTTAATCTATGTCTATCTTAACATATAAAGTGCCTTTATGTAAAAGATCATATATTTGTCATGCTTTTTAACTCACTCTGACAATCTCTATATTTTATTTGGAGTATTTATACTACTTTTACTTAATGTAATTGCTTAGTGGTTCAATTCAATCAGTCACTTGCTCCTTGTTTTATATTTGTTGCATATGCTTTGTTTTGTTTCTATTTCTTAGGTACATATAACCTCTGGGGGAAGAATCTGTGCCTTGTTTTAGATGTTTTCTCATTATGTTGGTATAAGCTGAACATTTATTGCTGCTACTCTTCATGCCCACTCAGGAGTATCCTAAAAGAAAGTGGTGAGAGGAAATCTTCCAGTGTGCAGAGCTGTGGTGGAACACCTGCTTGCCCACTTTGTGTGAAGAAGAAAGTAGCCTAAAGTAAGCATTTACAAGGATTTATGAACAGTGACAAAGGGTTTACCTCAGTAGTCTGGACCAAGAAAGAACTAGATTGAAAGGTTAGCCACAAAGAAGTCTGAGAAAGAGGGATATGAATGGAGGTATGCACAAAGTGTGAGGATCCATGTATGATAAGATTAAGGTTCACCAGAGAGCATCCACTGCAGAAAAACATTAAACAACTAGGTTGACAGGATGATTCATCCAATGGACATAAACCAGTCTCTATCCTCAGCCTCTTCAATGTGTACATAATGGGGCCATGAATGAAGTAGCCCAAGATTTGACTGTAGAGCCTTGCATTCCTGGAGTAAATCTCAGTTGATTGAGAGATAACTGTCTATGTTTTTTTTTTTTTTAATTTTAATGTCTACCTGGTTTGTTATTAAGGTTTTGCCGACCTCTTGGATAAGTTAATAAGACTTTATTCTGCTGAAGAAGTGTGGAGAATTTGTATCATTATTCTTTAAAGGCTTAGTGGAATATACCTTTAAAACAATCTGAAAAACTATCTAGGTCTGATATTTTCAGCTTATTAATTATCTATTCAATTAAAAATATATATAGGTCTATTAAGAATGCCTATTTATTCTTGCATGAGATGTGGTAGTTTGTGTCTTTCAAGAAATTGGTCAAATTCATCCAACTTATGAAACTTGTAGTCATTCAGTTGTTCATAGGATTGTTGTATTATCCTTTCAATGTTCACGGGATTGTAGTGATGACTTTCCTTCATTTCACACATTGGTAATTTGTGTCTTCTCTCTTATTTATAGTTAGCCTATTGAGGGACTTATCAAATTTATTAATCTTTTCAAAGAACCATTTTTTATATTTTATTGTCTGTACAATTTCCTGTTTTAAATTTCTTTTATTTTTTATTCTAATTTTTAATTTTCTTCTTTCTTTAAGATTAACTGATTTTTCCTTGAGTTTTCTAAGTTAGATACTTAGATTATTGATTTCAGATATTTCCTCCTTTCTAATATATGCATTTAATGCTATAAATTTCCTTCTATGCACTGCCTCCACTGCATTTTACAAATTTTGGTAAATTGTGTATTCATTTTTATTTAGTTCAAAATATTGTTAATATTTCTTGAGACTTTTTATTTGACCCATGTGTTACTTAGAAGCATATTATCCAGCTATCTTCTGTTATTGATTTCTTGGTTGATTTTACTGTGATCTGAGACAATGCTTTATATGATTTATATTCTTTCATATTTCATAAGATGTTTTAATGGCCCATAATGTGGTCTATCTTGGTAAGTGGTCCAGGTGAGCTTGAGAAGAATATACATTCTGCTGTTGGCTGAATATTTTATAAATGTCAATCAGACCAAGTTGATTGATAGTACTGTTCATATCAACTGTATTCTTAGTAATTTTCTGCTAGCTTGATCTAGTGTTGAAATCTCCAACCGTAATAGTGGGTTTTTCTATTTCTCCCTTTGGTTTTATAAGTTTTTGCCTCACATAATTTGAAGCTCTGTTGTTAGTTGCACATATATTTAGGATGGTTATGTCTTTTTGAAGAAACCGTTGCATTATGCAATGTCCCTCTTCATTCATGATAAATTTTCTTATTCTGCCGTCTGCTTTCTCTCAGATGAATATAGCTACTGCAGCTTTCTTTTGATTAATGTTAGCATGGTATTTCTTTCTTTATCCCTTTACTATGCATGTTTTAACCTATGCATGCCTTTATATTTAAAGTGGGTTTTTGGTAGGCTAAAATATAGTTGGGTTTTATTTTCTAGATCCACTCTGATAATTTCATCTGTTTGTTTTATTTAGACCATTCAAATTCAAAGTAATTATTTATGTAGTTGGATTAACATTCTACCATGTTTTTAAAAGCTTTCTCTTTACTTCATTTACTTTGTTTCCCCCAACCTTTTCTATCTTTTCTGATTTTAATTGAACATTTTATGTTATTCTATTTTCTATTCTCTCTTAGCATATCAATTATACTTGGTTTAAAAAAATTAATAGTTGTCTTGGAGTTCAAAATATACATTTAGACTGATCTAAGCCTTTCTTCAAATAGCGCTATTCCACTTTATGTATAGTGCACATACCTTATAACAGAATGTACCCATTTTCTTCCTATTCCTATGACATTACTGTCATTCATTTCACTCATACATATGCTGTAATCACCCAATACTTTGCTACTTTTATTAATTTACACTACTATCTTGAATAAGTACAAGAAAAATAAAAGATGTTATTTTATCTACATTTATTCCTTCTCTGATATTCTTTCTTTCTTTACGTAGATCTCAGTTTCTGGCTTACATTATTTTCTTTCTACCTGAAGAACTTCTTTTTGAACATCTCTTAAAGGGCAGACCTGATGACAATAAATTCTCTCAGGTTTGTTTGTCTGAGAAACTCTTTATTCTTAACTTTTGAAGGACAATGCTGATGACTATAAATTTTCACTTTGGCTTTTTTTGTCTTTCAACACTTTAAATATTTTATTCCACTCTTCTTACTTGCATGGTTTCCAATGAAAAGTCAGCTGTAATTCTTAACATTTGTCCTCTACTGATAAGGCATTTTCCCCCCCTCTGGCTTCTTTCTACATTTTCTTCTTGTCTTTGGTTTTCTGCAATTTAAATAGTATATGCCTAGCTGTATTATTTTGGTATTTATTGTGACTGGTGCTCTCTGAGCTTCCTGTATTTCTGATTTTGTGTCTCTCAAAATTCTTGGTCATTACCACTCAAATAACAATATCACTGAAATATTCTCTCTCCTTTCTTTCCTTCTGGCTTTCTCTTTTTTCTTTCTAGCATTCCAATTGTGCTTACGTTGCACATTTGGAAATTGTCTCTACAATTTTTTATTGTTTTCTTCTCTCCTCTCTTTCTCTTTCTCCTTTCTTCTCTGTTTCTCTCCCTGTGTTATTCCCCCTCTCTCGCCTTCCTTCTTTCCTTCCTTCCTCCCTTCATTCCTTCTTTCTTTTATCCTTCCTTTCTTTTTCAGTTTTTGCATTTATATTTAGGATATTTCTTTTGACTTATATTCAAGAATATTGGCTCTTTTCTCAGCTATACCTAGTCTACTGGTGAGCTCTTCATAGGCATTCTTTATTTCCATTATAGTGAGTTAGAGAGAGGAGACAGAGAGAGAGACAGAGACAGAGAGAGAGAGAGAGACATCTAATTGTGTAATTGTCTGTTTCTCTTTCCAGTTTCATCCATTTTTGTTTCATGAATTTTGACACTCCATTATCAGGTGCATAAACATTCATGATTGTTATATCTTCTTGATAAATTGAGCTTTTTATTATTATGAAGTGACTTCGTATATCCCTTTGGATATATCTTTGCTCTGTAATGCAGTTTGTCATATATTAGTATAGTCATTCCAGCATTATTTTTATTAGGGTTGGCATGGAATATATTTTTCTATCATTTTAACCTATTTGTGTCTTTGTAATTAAAGCACGTTTCTTATAAATAGCATACAGATAAGTCTTGCTTATTTTATCCATCTCACAACTTCTGACCTATAATTGAGGTATTTAGACATTTTATATGTAAAGTAATTGTTAAAATGGTAGGCTTAGCCTGGCGCAGTGGCTCACGCCTGTAATCCCAGCACTTTGGGAGGCAGAGGCGGGTGGATCACGAGGTTAGGAAATCAAGACCATCCTGGCTAACACGGTGAAATCCCGTCTCTACTAAAAATACAAAAAAATTAGCTGGGCATGGTGGCGGGCGCCTGTAGTCCCAGCAACTTGGGAGGCTGAGGCAGGAGAATGGCGTGAACCCAGGAGGCTGAGCTTGCAGTGAGCCAAGATCGCGCCACTGCACTCCAGCCTGGGGTACAGAGCAAGATTCCGTCTCAAAAAAGAAAAAAATAATAACTTTGCGGGGCCGAGGTGGACAGATCACAAGGTCAAGAGATCGAGACCATCCTGGCTAACATGGTGAAACCCCGTCTCTACTAAATATACAAAAAATTAGCCAGGCGTGGTGGCGGGCGCCTGTAGTCCCAGATACTCAGGAGGTTGAGGCAGGAGAATGGCGTGAACCCGGGAGGTGGAGCTTGCAGTGAGCCGAGATCATGCCACTGCACTCCAGCCTGGGCGACAGAGCAAGACTCTGTCTCAAATAAATAAATAAATAAATAAATAAATAAATAAATAAATAAATGGTAGGCGTAAACCTACCATCTTGCTATTTGTTTTCTAACCATCTATTATTTGTGTTCTTATTCCCGTTCTTTTGCTTTATCTGGAATTAAATGATTTTTTTTATGGTTCCACTTTATTTCCTTTCTTGACTTACTAGCCATGACTCATTATTTTGTTACTTTGATGGATCTTTTAGGACTTATAGTATACATTTTTATTTAATCGCCATCTTACTTCAAGTGATATTATACACCTTTGCATGTAGTGTAAGAAACTTATAACATTGTATCTTCATTTTTCCCCTCAACTTTATTGTTATTGTTTGTATACACTGTACTTCCACATATATTCTAAACTTCCACACTACATTGCTATTACCTTATTTAAGCAGTCTATTATCTTTTAAAGGATTAAAGTATTTTTAAGTTTTATATATTTACATTTATAGACAACTTTTTGGTGTTCTTTATTCACTTTTGTAGATTGACATTTCTCTCTTGTGTTTTTTTTCTTCTGCCTGAAGAATGGTCCATTAACATTTCTAATAATGCAGTCCTTCCAGTGATAAAATTTTATACATTTTGTATTTCTGGAAAAGTGTTATTCACAGTTGATACTCCCATTATATTTCAATTAGATCATGCTGTTAGGCACATATGCCTTGTCTTTTGTGTTTTCTTTTCATCTTTTGATGTCATTTTGTCTTTCAGTTTTGATATTTTTGCACTGACTTATCTTGTAGCTCACCAATTATCTGTTCTGTTGTGTCTAATCTTCTATTAAACCTATAAATTAATTTCTTACTGTCAGATACAGTGTTGTCAGTTCTAAAGTTTCAGTTTACAGATCCTGTACTCTATAAAACTTGTCATATTTTCCCACTTTTAAAAGCATTTTTATCATAGTTATTTTAACTTGACTATCTGGATCTCCTGTGGGTTTTTTCTATGGTTTTCTAAAAATTTTATTTTGGTCAGTTGCTCCAGTGCTTCAAATGGGAAACCTGAAATTCAAGATGACATATTATAGAGGTTATGGGTTTTACTGTCCTCTTCCAACAAAAGTGCTATACTTTGATGTTTCTCCCCTCCAACCTCATGTTAAAATTTTGTTCCCAATGTTAAAGGTGGGTCCTAATGGATGTGTTTTGGTCATGGGAGCTGATTCTCTCATGATTAGATTAATGATCTTTCTCAGGAGTAAGTGAGTTTCCACTCTATTAGTTCCCACAAGAGCTGATTGTTAAAAAGAGCCTGGCATCTCCCCCACCTGCTTGCTTCCTCTCTTGCTATGTGATGTCTGCATAAACCAGCTTCCCTTTGCCTTCCACCCTGAGTGGAAGGGGCCTGAGGCCCTCACAAGCAGCTGAGCAGATGTCTGCATCATGCTGTCTGCATCATGCTTCTTGTACGGCCTGCAGTACTGTGAGCTAACTAAACCTCTTTTCCTTATAAATTACCCAGCCTCAGGTATTCCTTTATAGCAACACTAAACGGACTAAGACAAAGGGTTAGGTTTTCTCCTGGGAGCAACTAGGAAGTACAGATCCCCATAATCTAATGGGCGTTTGATTTTAGTGTTTGGGGTTAGTTTATTTCCATTTTGTGATTACTGCTAAGCCATGGTTCTGTCTTCTAAGATGTGGTCCCTATTACAAGCTTGTAGCCTTTATTCCTAATTCGTGGCCCTTTTTGAAACTCAGCAGAAAGTCTGGGGTATACCTCAAAAAACTTCCAGCTTGTCAGGAATTGAACATCATAGTTTTCCCAGCAACACACAACTGCTGCAATCTCAGCTTTTCTGTTCGGCCCCTGAGATGCTGCAGCCTGCTGAACTTTTGGACTCTTAGTCTGCTGCATTTAGCTTAGGAATCAGCCAATGACTTTAAAGAAATTAGATCAGAGATTTCAGCGTTTACTTCTCGGCACTTCTCTATTCTCTGTGATTTTGCCCCTCATATCCCAGCCAATGTCGCAGCTTGGAATCCTGGCTTTGGTATCTTTATTGCAGTAAGACAACCACTTTTTGCTTCATTTTGGCTTTCCTCCACAGAAAATTAGAAAATGCTTTCATGAAAAAATCCAAGATAAATATGGAGTGCTGTCTCTGCTTCTCTCTTCTCAGGGACCAGAGTTGTATAAGCCGACCTCTGTTAATTTATCTTCAATTACTTACAAGAGTTGTTCCATACATAGCTGTTAGTGGAAAGTTTAGTCTTAGCCAAGCCAATCCATATGTCCCCTAACCAGAATTATGTGATTTTCCTAATGTATTATCTGGCAATTTGAAATATCCTTTATCGGGAGGTGTTTCTTTAAAATTCTAATTTGCCATATTTCTCCCCAAAGGCCTAAATTTTGAATAAACTTTGGTACTTGAAGAGACCCACCTATAAAAATAAATGTAAAATCATTTTTTCTTCTTAAATTTCAAAGCTGTATTTGATCTCCACTGTCAGGTACTGGATCTATGCATTGACTTAGAAAGATTCACATGTTTCCATTTATTAACCTACATTTTTTAATAAATTAGAACAAGAAAAAATATAGTGTCATGCAACATTGATTAGAGTCAAACAAGACCAACGATGTCGTCATTTGAATGTTAGTTAACTTTTCTTAGCTGTAGCTTCCTCTTTTTAGAATATCAATAATTATTCTTTTTCTGAGTTGTTGCTATGATACACACATTACAATGTTTATAGTAGCATTGTCCATAGGGACAAAATTTTTCAAACACAGTAAATATCTTTCAGTAGGCTTATGGCTGAATAAATTATGGTATATTCGTACCATGAACTAGTTTGCAGCCATGAAAAAGAGTAGCTATGCCACTTGATTTTGAGGGCTTATTTTTAGATAATAAGTGAGAAAATCAAGATGCAGACATGTGAATATAATTTTTACATTCTGTAAATGTGCCGATGTGTCTACACATTTTATATATTACATCGAGGAAACCATGGAGGGGCATATATTATGTTAATGTAGGTTCCCTGGCGTGCAGGCAGGAAGATGGGAAGAAAAGATGAAAGTATGCTGACATGGGAGAAGGAGATGAGGGGAAGGTAAGCAAAAATGGGGCAAAAAAAGAGATTTATTTCAAGAAATTAATGTCTATGATGATCATTGTTCTACATTTTTATAAACTTTTATTTACATTTGCTTATAGAAATAAATTAATTTTCAGTGTCCAGTTTTCAATCCTAGACTTACAGTATACATTTAATATAAATTCATATGTTTTAAAAAAAGACATCTGAGTTATATGAAAGTTAGTAATGAGTAGAGTAGATCCTTAACCTGAAGACTGCGATCTTGCAAGGGCTAAATATCACACTTACTTACAAAACAAGTCTTGACGCTCATGTCAAGATATACCACTAGGGCTAGTGGACATGCTGGTTGACATAATCTGGCATTTAGTTCTCATGTTCTTTATACAAAATTTTGATAATAGAAAGGCTGATAATTTAGGCCAGCTATCTCTTCACAATGTGTTCCTTCTTTGTAATTTATTCCTTGATTCCAAATGAATGGATGGCAAACGATGATCAGACAGCGAATGCTTCGTATATGGGCACAGGTATAAATTTAGCCTAATCTCTAAACAGCACTTCCATGAAATCCTACGAACATGCTCTTACTTGCCTGAACTTTTCTAGTTTTTCCTCCACCCTACAATGATTTATAAGTTTCAAGTAGTCATTTGAATAAATAATATTCACAAAACACCTATGGACTTTCTAGATTGTCATTCAGTCAACAGTTTTAGGTAAAAGACCAGCTCTGACCAGGGAATGATGCTCATGCCCTGGAGGCCAGTCCAGAGACTCTGTCCTGCCAGTCTCGGGAATGTGGGGAACAATTCAAGTGGCAGATGGGGACATGACATATAGGCAGAAGGAAGACCCGAGAAAGCCCACCCAGACACCCTATAGATCTTGTGTAGGTCTCTTGGCTTAGAAAGTATTTCAAGAATATTTTTCCCTGGAACCTAACGAGCTGGAAGTAAGGTGCCAGCCTCCTTGTGGGAGATGCATGCAGCAGGAGCAAAGTGATTTGCTTTTCCCTGCCCTGCTTCTATGACCCCGTCAGGAGGCAGGAGAAGAGAGGAAAGGCCAGAGATGGAATTGTGAGCCACATTGTGATGGGTTTAATAATCTCAAATCACTACCCATAATTGAGAGAAAACTTGGAATAAGACCAAAGTGGTAATCCAAAGCACCATAGTAACTGAAAGTGGAGAACATTCCTTCTACTAGTATTACTGCCTCTTGTTTCTCCCCCACCTTTCCTACTGTAAGACTCCTGATGCATAGCTCATCTTCTTCCAACCTTTTAATACCAATTGCTGGACTCAGATAAGTTTAGCTATATTTACTGTAGAATTCAGAAAGAATTCAGTGAGTTTCCTTCCTGGAACAGCATTCTTAGAATCTATTACATTAGTGCAGAACTAACTGTGGTTTCACCATTGAAAGTAATGGCACCAAACTAATAGGAGAGTTTTTTAAAGTGTGTGTGTGTGTGTGTGTGTGTGTGTGTGTGTGTGTGTTTGTGTTGGGGTGGGGGGAGGGTGTTATGTAACCTATTGCTCCTAGAAATTTCTTCAGAGTATATGAACTGAATGAATTTTTTTATTATACTTTAAGTTTTAGGGTACATGTGCACAACGTGCAGGCTAGTTACATATGTATACATGTGCCATGTTGGTGTGCTGCACCCATTAACTAGTCATTTAACATCAGGTATATCTCCTAATGCTATCCCTCCCCCCTCCCCCCACCCCACAACAGGCCCTGGTGTGTGATGTTCCCCTTCCTGCATCCATGTGTTCTCGTTGTTCAATTCCCACCTATGAGTGAGAACATGCGGTGTTTGGTTTTTTGTCCTTGAGATAGTTTGCTGAGAATGATGGTTTCCAGCTTCATCCATGTCTCTACAAAGGACATGAACTCATCATTTTTATGGCTGCATAGTATTCCATGGTGTATATGTGCCACATTTTCTTAATCCAGTCTATCATTGTTGGACATTTGGCTTGGTTCCAAGTCTTTGCTATTGTGAATAGTGCCACAATAAACATACGTGTGCATGTGTCTTTATAGCAGCATGATTTATAATCCTTTGGGTATATACCCAGTAATGGGATGGCTGGATCAAATGGTATTGCTAGTTCTAGATCCCTGAGGAATCACCACACCGACTTCCACAATGCTTGAACTAGTTTACAGTCCCACCAACAGTGTAAAAGTGTTCCTATTTCTCCACATCCTCTCCAGCACCTGTTGTTTCCTGACTTTTTAATGATCGCCATTCTAACTGGTGTGAGATAGTATCTCATTGTGGTTTTGATTTGCATTTCTCTGATGGCCAGTGATGATGAGCATTTTTTCATGGGTCTTTTGGCTGCATAAATGTCTTCTTTTGAGAAATGTCTGTTCATATCCTTCGCCCACTTTTTGATGGGGTTGTTTGTTTTTTTCTTGTAAATTTGTTTGAGTTCATTGTAGATTCTGGATATTAGCCCTTTGTCAGATGAGTAGATTGCAAAAATTTTCTCCCATTCTGTAGGTTGCATGTTCACTCTGATGGTGGTTTCTTTTGCTGTGCAGAAGCTCTTTAGTTTAATTAGATCCCACTTGTCAATTTTGGCTTTTGTTGCCATTGCTTTTGGTGTTTTAGAAGTGAAGTTCTTGCCCATGCCTATGTCCTGAATGGTATTGCCTAGGTTTTCTTGTAGGGTTTTTATGGTTTCAGGTCTAATGTTTAAGTCTTTAATCCATCTTGAATTAATTTTTGTATAAGGTGTAAGGAAGGGATCCAGTTTCAGCTTTCTACATATGGCTAGCCAGTTTTCCCAGCACCATTTATTAAATAGGGAATCCTTTCCCCATTTCTTGTTTTTGTTGGGTTTGTCAAAGATCAGATGGTTGTAGATATGTGGCATTATTTCTGAGGGCTCTGTTCTGTTCTATTGGTCTATATCTCTGTTTTGGTACCAGTACCATGCTGTTTTGGTTACTGTAGCCTTGTAGTATAGTTTGAAGTCAGTTAGAGTGATGCCTCCAGCTTTGTTCTTTTGGCTCAGGATTGACTTGGCAATGCGGGCTCTTTTTTGGTTCCATCTGAACTTTAAAGTAGTTTTTTCCAATTCTGTGAAGAAAGTCATTGTTAGCTTGATGGGGATGGCATTGAATCTATAAATTACCTTGGGCAATATGGCCATTTTCACGATATTGATTCTTGGTACCCATGAGCATGGAATGTTCTACCATTTGTTTGTATCCTCTTTTATTTCATTGAGCGGTGGTTTGTAGTTCTCCTTGAAGAGGTCCTTCATGTGTCTTGTAAGTTGGATTCCTAGGTATTTTATTCTCTTTGAAGTAATTGTGAATGGGAGTTCACTCATGATTTGGCTCTCTGTTTGTCTGTTGTTGGTGTATAAGAATGCTTGTGATTTTTGCACATTGATTTTGTATCCTGAGACTTTGCTGAAGTTGCCTATCAGCTTAAGGAGATTTTGGGCTGAGATGATGGGGTTTTCTAGATATACAATCACATCATCTGCAAACAGGGACAATTTGACTTCCTCTTTTCCTAATTGAATACCCTTTATTTCCTTCTCCTGCCTGATTGCCCTGGCCAGAACTTCCAACACTATGTTGAATATGAGTGGTGAGAGAGGGCATCCCTGTCTTGTGCCAGTTTTCAAAGGGAATGCTTCCAGTTTTTGCCCATTCAGTATGATATTGGCTGTGGGTTTGTCATAGATAACTCTTATTATTTTGAGATACATCCCATCAATACCTAATTTATTGAGAGTTTTTAGCATGAAGGGTTGTTGAATTTTGTCAAAGGCCTTTTCTGCATCTATTGAGATAATCACGTGGTTTTTGTCGTTGGTTCTGTTTATGTGCTGGATTACATTTATTGATTTTCGTATGTTGAACCAGTCTTGCATCCCAGGGATGAAGCCCACTTGATCATGGTGGATAAGCTTTTTGATGTGCTGCTGGATTCGGTTTGCCAGTATTTTATTGAGGATTTTTGCTCGATGTTCATCAGGGATATTGGTCTAAAATTCTCTTTTTTTGTTGTGTCTCTGTCAGGCTTTGATATCAGGATGATGCAGGCCTCATAAAATGAGTTAGGGATGATTCCCTCTTTTTCTATTGATTGGAATAGTTTCAGAAGGAATGGTACCAGTTCCTCCTCGTACTTCTGGTAGAATTCAGCTGTGAATCCATCTGGTCCTGGACTTTTTTTTTGGTTGGTAAGCTATTAATTATTGCCTCAATTTCAGAGCCTGTTATTAGTCTATTCAGAGGTTCAACTTCTTCCTGGTTTAGTCTTGGGAGGGTGTATATGTCGAGGAATTTATCCATTTCTTCTAGATTTTCTAGTTTATTTGCACAGAGGTGTTTATAGTATTCTCTGATGGTAGTTTGTATTTCTGTGGGATTGGTGGTGGTATCCCCTTTATCATTTGTTATTTTTTATCCCCTTTATCATTTTTTATTTTTATTTGATCCTTCTCTCTTTTCTTCTTCATTAGTCTTGCTAGCGGTCTATCAATTTTGTTGATCTTTTCAAAAAACCAGCTCCTGGATTCATTGATTTTTTGAAGGGTTTTTTGTGTCTCTATTTCCTTCAGTTCTGCTCTGATCTTAGTTATTTCTTGCCTTCTGCTAGGTTTTGAATGTGTTTGCTCTTGCTTCTCTAGTTCTTGTAATTGTGATGTTAGGGTGTCAATTTTCGATCTTTCCTGCTTTCTCTTGTGGGCATTTAGTACTATAAATTTCCCTCTACACACTGCTTTGAATGTGTCCCAGAGATTCTTGTATGTTGTGTTTTTGTTCTCATTGGTTTCAAAGAACATCTTTATTTCTGCCTTCATTTCGTTATGTACCCAGTAGTCATTCAGGAGCGGGTTGTTCAGTTTCCATGTAGTTGAGCGGTTTTGAGTGAGATTCTTAATCCTGAGTTCTAGTTTGATTGCACAGTGGTCTGAGAGACAGTTTGTTATAATTTCTATTCTTTTACACTTGCTGAGGAGGGCTGTACTTCCAACTATGTGGTCAGTTTTGGAATAAGTGTGGTGTGATGCTGAGAAGAATGTATATTCTGTTGATTTGTGGTGGAGAGTTCTGTAGATGTCTATTAGGTCCGCTTGGTGCAGAGCTGAGTTCAATTCCTGGATATCCTTGTTAACTTTCTTTCTCGTTGATCTGTCTAACGTTGACAGTGGGGTGTTAAAGTCTCCCATTATTATTGTGTGAGAGTCTAAGTCTCTTTGTAGGTCTCTAAGGACTTGCTTTATGAATCTGGGTGCTCCTGTATCGGGTGCATATATATTTAGGATACTTAGCTCTTCTTGTTGAATTGATCCCTTTACCATTATGTAATGGCCTTCTTTGTCTCTTTTGATCTTTGTTGGTTTAAAGTCTGTTTTATGAGAGACTAGGATTGCAACCCCTGCCTTTTTTTTTGTTTTCCATTTGCTTGGTAGATCTTCCTCCATCCCTTTATTTTGAGCCTATGTGTGTCTCTGCATGTGAGATGGGTTTCCTGAATACAGCACAGTGATGGGTCTTGACTCTTTATCCAATTTGCCAGTCTGTGTCTTTTAATTGGAGCATTTAGCCCATTTACATTTAAGGTTAATATTGTTATGTGTGAATTTGATCCTGTCATTATGAGGTTAGCTGGTAATTTTGCTCGTTAGTTAATGCAGTTTCTTCCTAGCCTCGATGGTCTCTACAATTTGGCATGTTTTTGCAGTGGCTGGTACTGGTTGTTCCTTTCCATGTTTAGTGCTTCCTTCAGGTGCTCTTTTAGGGCAAGCCTGGTGGTGACAAAATCTCTCAGCATTTGCTTGTCTGTAAAGGATTTTATTTTTCCACTTCTGAAGCTTAGTTTGGCTGGATATGAAATTCTGGGTTGAAAATTCTTTTCTTTAAGAAAGTTGAATATTGGCCCCCACTCTCTTCTGGCTTGTAGAGTTTCTTCTGAGATATCAGCTGTTAGTCTGATGGGCTTCCCTTTGTGGGTAACCCGACCTTTCTCTCTGGCTGCCCTTAACATTTTTTCCTTCATTTCAACTTTGGTGAATCTGACAATTATGTGTCTTGGAGTTGCTCTTCTTGAGGAGTATCTTTGTGGCATTCTCTGTATTTCCTGAATTTGAATGTTGGCCTGCCTTGCTAGATTGGGGAAGTTCTCCTGGACAATATCCTGCAGCGTGTTTTCCAACTTGTTTCCACTGAATGAAATTTTTTTAATTTTAGAACTAGAAAAACATATTATCTTAGAAACTGATAAACTTCTTAACAAACAATAGCTTCAATCATTTGAAACATTTTACATTAAAAAGGAACTCTTGGTTTTAAAAAATAGGGGCCCCTATAGTCTAGACTCCGCTGGACACTAACACTCCTGGGAATGTCTGTAGCGTATATTACTCTCTACAGGATATTGATCGTGTTTTGATTTGACTAGTTGGATGCTTAGGAAGGAGTCCACCAATTCCATGGACTTTAACCATAGCTCCCAAGGATGTCAGTGTACTAACAACGAACTGCTTTGTTCAGTTACCCAGCCTATTGCATGCCAACTCAGCGATCTTGTAATTAGGTACCATTCAGGCTACTCTGACTTAGCCTGGAAGAGTAGAAGTAAATAAATGTGTTAACAGTCTGAGTCCTTAAAGTTATAGACTTACTTAATGTAAACCTCAGCTGACAACAGTTTTCTAAATGGTTCTTCAAACTTCCAAAGACTTTGGTTTGAAGCATGATGGTGAAACATATAACATCTTCCCCTTTAAGACAATCCTCTGGTCAATCTGGAAACAATACTTAGAACCAAATGGAAAATTAAACCATTGGGAGGTGGTGGAAAACCATCTAGCCACGATCAGTTCAAAGTCCGGATGCTTAAATGATGCAAAACACTCTGTTATAGATACTATACAGGACAGATTATCAAAATAAAGAGTTGATAATAACATTTATGCAAACAAAAAGCAGTCATATGAAGAAAACCATGGTTATAATAAATGACCTCATGGAGATAGCAAATTTCAAGTCTTTCCCACTATGAATACTGCAAGAAGGTAACCATGGTTATAAAAAAAAGTCCCCATGGAGATAGCAAAAAATAGTAGTAAAAAATTTCTACTAGTAGTGGTAAAAAAAATTACTACTATGAGTACTACCAGAAGGTAAAATTAGCTGACATCATTTATAATGTCATATATCTGGTCTACTGGTGTATCATTGTATTAGTCCATTTTCACGCTGCTAATAAAGACATACCTGAGACTGGGTAATTTACAAAGGAAAGAAGTTTAATGAACTCACAGCTCCACATGCCTGGGGAGGCCTCACGATCATGACAGAAGATGAAGGAAGAGCAAAGAGATGTCTTACATGGCAGAGGGAAACAATTTGTTTAGGGGAACTATCAACTCCCCTTTATAAATGAGAGTTCCCCTCTAGAAAACCATCAGGTCTCCTGAGACTTACTATCACGAGAACAGCATGGGAAAGACCTGCCCCCATGATTCAATTACCTCCCACCAGGTCCCTCCCACGACACGTGGGAATTATGGGAGTTACAATTCAAGATGAGATTTGGGTGGGGACATAGCCAAACCATATCAATCATAAACTGAAATTTTTAGGTGGGTGAGAAATATTACCAGAAATACATCCATAACACCTACAACTGCACAAAACCACACACACACATATTTTACAGTGTAGTACTTTCCTTTTCTCTTATAAATTCTTTGTTAGAAGTTTACCAAGATGGAATGCATAGTTTTATCTGAGACAAGCAGCCATTTAACATGTGCAAAGTAAAGAGATAAGCACTAGACACCCCAACTAACAACATGAAGGGGAGCATCCTGAGGAGAATTAGAAATGAGGTTGAAAAAGGAATATCATTAAGGCCGCCATCTTGTGTCAAATTACAACTCTTGATTCAACCCCGTGCTTGGTTGAATAATGGACAATTTTTGAGAAACTATATTGACACCTCTGTCTTTAAAAACTGAGGATGGCATGAACACAAGTTGCCTCACTTTAATGTGGAAACAGGGATACGTAGCTCTACTGGCCTAATTGTGCAATTGCAATTTAATACAGGCTCCCAAATTTGACAATGATCAATGTGTTAGGTTATTATATGCTTTGTTAACAGAAAAGAAAAATGTGTTTATCTGTAAATCTTAGGCAGGGAAGAGTAATACATTCTCATTTTGTAACATTTATTTCCTCATAGAATTGGTTAAGTACTGTACTCAGTTTTTGTATCAGATTCAGTCAATAAAAACTCATTGATAGTCCATTACTACTTGACAAATTCTACTGTAAGGACTTTAGCTAGATCGTCCCAAGCCCCTGCCTGGTTGATATTTTTCTCCCCTCCATCTTTTCAACTTCATCGGAAGTGATACATTATAAACAAACATATTTATCTTCCAGCTAATCCCAAATGGATGAAATAAAGAGCTTGACACCAATTTTAAGCTTTTCCTCTTTTCCTCTCCTAATCATTTATTGCAGAAGAAAAATAGCCCTACAAAAATGGATTTTTACCACATGCTCAATAAATTCTAGGTGCATTTCTCTGATTCTCTGTCCCAGTACAAAATTCCTCTATCAAGATTAATATTAAACTCAGCTCAAGGCTGAGCACCAGATTTGAGCAATGACAAATTTCTCACCATTTCCCCACAGATCTTTTACTTTGTCTGCCAAGTTGCGAATTTCAAGCTTGCCCTATAACCACACACAGAGGAAAAACGCTCCTATCAATGACAGTAAACCAAACTCTTTTGACCTCTGATTGACACAGGGATACAACTGGAGTTCTTGATGTGTTACTTGATTTTTTCATTCTGTGAAAAAAAATTTTTGTGCATTCTGCAAAATTTAGATAATTCATAGTGAAAGTCCAGTGTAGTGTCTTGAGAAGAGAACAAATAATCATATAAACATTTTTAGGTCAGTTGTACCAAAATTTTGCATTTCAATCAGTAAAATACATTTTTTAGATAATTTAAAAAATAAAATAAACTGCAGATTCAAACTGTGTCAAGTACACTCATGTAAAATCCACCATTGACTATTAATTACATGATACAAATCTCAGAATAAGGGACCGTTTTTTTAAAAAGTGAATGTTAGCTTTAAGTACAACTCATGACATTACCCCTTTTCCTCTTATTTTAGTACAGATTCAACGTGGACATATAACATTTTGCATCTCTGTTCTTGGGAGCAGTGGCATCAGTTGATAGAATAGAGCCTTCTGCCCATACAGATAAAAAGCAAGCAACCAGCAGACCTCGGCCCTGATCCCAGCATTTTCTTTGTTAAATAGATGACAATTCCATGAACTTGCCTTTTAGGCAAGACAAATCACTTTCCCTTCCGAAGCTCACCATTTTGTTTATATTGCGTGATCATTGTAGAGATCAAAGAAGATTGTGACATCCTAATTGGGTAAAAGAACATACCTACCAATAGGTATATTTGATGGGACAACTATCTTAAGTTATTTTTAGTTGTTCAGGTCGACTTTGATGAAGTGTCCACTTGACTGGTAGTCAAAAAACTGGAAATGAAAACAGTCCCCATTTAAACTCTTATCATTGCTATCTAAACAGCATAGAATTATTGTGGACATTTTCACTTATAAGTTTTAATAAGTTAGCCGTGAACTCAAAATACTAAATCACAAAGAAGCCCATTACAAAAAGCAATCTGTTAAATTCCAACTACAAAACTCTCTATTTGTATTCACCCTTTGCTTTTGAAAAGATTATTTTACCTCATTTAAACATTTACTCCTGGAATTCTCAACATGACCTTGATAGAGAAGACAATTTTTTTTGTCTTCTTTCCCTTCAGAATTTCACCATTTTGTTTACATTGCATGATCTATTTGTATTCACCCTTTGCTTTTGAAAAGACTATTTTACCTCATTTAAACATTTATTCCTGGAATTCTCAACATGACCTTGATATGCAAGACAATTTTTCATTGACAAAAATTTCTTTGAGGCTTTGTGTACATGTATTGTTTGAGCTAGGCAAAATGTTCGCTCAAGAAAGCAACAGTAAAAGTTAATGACATTTTACTCAAATTAAATAAATTCCAAGAGCAACTGCTGAATGTGAGGGCCTCATTTGTCATATTGTCTATTCTGTTTGGGGAGAACAGTTCCTCTTGTTCTATTTCGTTTTATTTGAGAACGTGTCTCAACTTCTCTCCCACTCAAGAACTCTGAAGTTTGAATTTGGCTTGCACTACCTTGCATTTCAGCCCTTCCCTGGATTTCTCTGGGGTTCTTTGGGTATGGCATGAAGCCATGTGCGGTCTCCTATGCAATCAGGTTATTGCCATGGGAGACTTTCCCTAATTGTGTTAGTCTATTGAGATTACAACCCTGCAAGTGCATATCTGGGCATCTAGGAAATAGGTATTAATATTTGATTGCTGAGTTTTTGTTCATGTATTCTTTAATCGATTAGAATTGTGGACCTTCTAAACAATGACCAGACATTGTACGTGCCAGTTTATATAGTGATGGAGAGGTGCCTCCCCTAACTCCAGACACCTGAGAGGCAATGAAAATTTACTAAGTAGTAGAGAGATCATGTAAGACAGAAAAGGACGAGGGGTGCAAATGTATGCCCATTCCATTTCTGAATGCATTGCCTAACCAAAGTCCATTTGATTACTGTGATATTCACACCGTAGTTTTCAACCCTAGTTAATTGCAATTGTCCCAACATACACATACTCCCTCTTTAATTTTTTTCCATTGTACTTAACATCTTCATACACACTATATATTTATTTTTGTTGAAAGTCTAACTATAGTGCTGAGAGACAGGACTAGCTGGATTTCCTAGGCCGACTAAGATTTCCTAAGCCTAGCTGCGGAAGGTGACTGCACCCACTTTTAAACACGGGGCTTGTAACTCAGCTCACATCTGACCAATCAGGTAGTAAAGAGGGCTCACTAAAATACCAATTAGGCTAAAAGCAGGAGGCAAAGAAATAGTCAAATCATCTATCATCTGAGAGCACAGGGGAGGGACAATGATTGAGATATAAACCCCAGGCATTCGAGCTGGGAGTGGGCAACCCCCTTTGGGTCCCCTCCTGTTGTATGGGAGCTCTGTTTTCACTCTATTAAACCTTGGGAGCTCTGTTTTCACTCTAATCTTGCAGCTACACACTTTTCTGGTCCGTGTTTGTTCCGGCTCAAACTGAGCTTTCGCTCGCTGTCCACCACTGCTGATTGCCATAATCGCAGACCCGTCGCTGACTTCCACTCCTCCAGAGCTGGCAGGGTGTCTGCTGAGCTTCTGATCCAGCGAGGCACCCACTGCCGCTCCCGATAGGGCTAGAGGCTCGCCATTGTTCCTGCGTGGCTAAGTGCCCGGGTTCGTCCTAATCAAGCTGAACACAAGTCGCTGGGTTCCATGGTTCTCTTCTTCCGTGACCCATGGCTTCCAATAGAGCTATAACACTCACCACATGGCCCAAGATTCCATTCCTTGGAATTCGTGAGGCCAAGAACCCCAGGTCAGAGAACAAAAGGCTTGCTGCCATCTTGGGAGCGGCCCCACACCATCTGGGAGCTCTAAGAAAAAAGACCCACCAGTAACAGTGCTTAATAAAGAGAACCTTGGAGCTTTTTTCAGCCTGATATGCCAGGAAAAATAATGAGACAATAAGGGTGCTATGAACTGAAAAAATATTATGTATATCCTAATATTTTCATAACATTAAGGATGATGTATTTCTTGATTTTTGGAAGAATTCGATCGTAAAACATCGGACCCAACGGTAAATTTGAGGGATAGACTTTTATTTACTGATTTAATATTTTAATGGTTAAAGGTCAATTCTGGTTTCTATTTCTTCTAGAGTCACATTTTTGGTAAGTTGTAATTAGAAAATTGGATAAATATAGCCAGAAATAATTTCTAGAAATGTATTCATTTGTCTCAGTTTTAAAGTAAATGATATAAATGTATTCATACTTTTCTCTTCTTATACCTGCATTATATCTCAAATTGTATCCCCTTTTTAGTTCATAGGTTTATTTATGCCTTTTCTTTCTCAATTTCATCAGAATTTTAACTTTATTAATCAATGCAAATTAAGCAAGCATCTTTATTTATTTATTTATTTATTTATTTATTTATTTATTGAGATGGAGTCTCGCTCTGTCGCCCAGGCTGGAGTGCAGTGGCGCAGTCTCGGCTCACTGCAACCTCCGCCTCCCAGGTTCAGGTGATTCTCCTGCCTCAGCCTCCCAAGTAGCTGGGATTACAGGCATGCACCACAAGGCCCAGCTAATTTTTGATATTTTTGGTAAAGATGGGGTTTCCCCACGTTGGCCAGGATGGTCTTGAACTCTTGACCTCATGATCTGCCTGTCTTGGCCTCCCAAAGTGCTGGGATTACAGGCATGAGCCACCATGCCCAGCCGTACCTTTGATTTTTGTCTGATTTTTTTTTTTAAACTTTGTGTTCTAGTTTATTAGTTTGTTCTATTTTAATTTTTTTTTTCTTTTTTTTAGAGACAGGTCTTCCTCTGCTGCCCAGGATGGAGTGCAGTGGTGTGATCATAGTTCACTGTAACCTCAGATTCCTGGGCTCAAAACATCTTCCTGCCTTAGCCTCCTAAGTAGCTAGGACTATAGACACGTGTCACCACAACCAGCTGATTTTTACATTTTCCAGAGACTGGGTCCTTGCTGTGTTGCCCAAGCTGGTCTCCAACTCCTGACTTCAAGTGATTCTCCCACTTCAGCCTTCCAAATTGCTAGGATTATAGGCATGAGCCACCCGACCTGTGCTCATTTTTTCTTCCTACTGCCTTCTTTGGGTACAGTATTTTTTCCAAAAAATTTCTTGAGGTGGACACTAGCCCATTTATTCTTTCTTTTCCAATGCAAACATTTAAGACTCTAGCTTTAAATGTATCCCACAACTTTGAAAGGAAGCATTTCTATTATTGTCCATTTCTGAACAATTGCTTGATTTCTGTGATGAATTCATCTTTGACCCGTGAGTTATTCAGAAGTATGTTTCATGTTTCCATGTGAATAGTTTTATTATTATTATTTTCTAATTTATTGTTATTATAGATCAGGGTCTACATTATATTAATGCTGTAGTATCTACTAAAATTTGGTTTCTGGCCTAATGTGTGTGCTTGAGAGAAATGCTGCCTCCATATCCTGTGTCACTTTTTTCTAGTGGTTTTTGCATCTCCTTCTCATCAATTTCAAGATCTTTTGTACAGTTTAGAAATTAACACTTTCTCTGTTGTCAGGGTTGCAAACATATTTTTCCAAATCTGCTATTTTCCGCTGATTTTTTGAAATCATCTTTTACTGTATGAAAGTTTATGTTTAATATACACAGAATGAAATTTGCCTAGTGTTTTTTTAATGCTTATAGGATTCCATATTGCTCAAGCCACCTCTACCACCTTAAGTGTACACAGAGACTTCTATATATTCTTGTAGAATTTTTTGACGTTTTTTCAAGGTGAGATTCAGGCTTGGGAAATAAATTTTATATCATTTCATATATTAAAAGACTTCTCAAAAAATGCAAACAGAAATGCAAAATTGGGTACAAAAGTGAATATTAGCTTAGAATGTGAAAGACAACCACAACAGAATACAAATTTGAATATGTTGACAAATACCTCCAACATCCAGTACATCTAGAAAGATGGTATACCTCTACTAAATAACTGCATGACCCTTGCCCCCACTGCTTTTATCTTCCTACAGTTTTTAGCTTTACATTTTTAATCTCTTCATATAATTGCAATTTTATAATATTTTCCACAGAGAGACTAAAGAGATAAGTTAGTCTTTCCTCTAGCAGAGTTTATCCAAATTTGTTTTATTATTGATAGTCAGGATGAATAAACCACAGGCATTTGGGCACGAACACAATCACTGCTTTAGGCCCATGGCACAATTGTCTTTCAAGCAGGAAATCTGAAAAATTACTTTACACTCAATTCCCAGAAACAAAGAAAAAATATATGTGATGCATTTATAATTGTATACATTGTATTCTTAAGTTTATTCTTGAAAGGGTTATTTTGACTAAATATCAATGGGAATTCCATCAATTCTGCCATCAGTTGTGTACATTTGACTATTTGAAGACATTTCCACAAATTGACTTCTGATTCGATATATGCCAAACCTTGTTTCTCTTCTACTATCCTTGTGCTTCCGGGGCCAGTTGCAGTAGGACGTGATCAGAGTATGGTACAAGCAAGGTCCTGTATCTTCATGAGAGAATGCTGAGTTGGGTCAATGATGTAAGCAGTACTAACATTCTGAAGGCCATTCCTACCCTAGGGTGGTTCCCAGTAATTAAACACAACCAGTAATTAAACACAAAACCACTACAAAGCACGTACACCTCAATAAGCCCAAACTAAATGGATCCCGTTTTCAACCTTTCTGCTGCCAGAGCCTATAAGCCCTGATGGTGTTTCCAGTGCATTCTGTGAAGAGAGACATGGAAAGAAAAAGATGAGTTCTACCTTCCCAGTAGGTTTGCTGGGGACATTGCTGGTTTTAGGACTGAATGTCCCACATCCTGGGAATTCTCTCAGTCCTAAACACACCAGGAAGACTCATTATTCTAGGAGAAAGAGACAGTCATCTTAGCCATTGGTGGTTAAACTTGGCAACTTTTTATAAATGTATAACCTGTGGATGCACTGCTGGAGCTCTTCCTAGGGTATTAATAGTGACCCATGCAAGCAGGGGGCTTAACTTTAAGTGAGGGCCTGCAGCCGAAGTTCCAGTAGCCTCCTACGAAATCTGCTGGGTTTTTAATTCATCTTTATCTTCGAATCTTTAATTTAGCTGCAATTTATTTTCAACTCAGATTCTTTATATTCTTCCTAGTCTTCTTCCCTCTGGCTGTTGTGTTCCTTGGATGGCTACGTTTCTGTTGTAGCATTTTGTGACTCAGGTAACTGCCTTTGGGATCACCATGTGATGAAGATTCTGTCAGAGATGGGAGTTGATGCAGTCACTCCCAGTGGGGTTAATGGAGTAGAAGAAAAGTTGCCCACCTCCCACTGAGGCACCTGGGGAAGTCTCTCTGCTACTGAGAACCCCAGCCTCAGGGAACCCACTCTCCACTCAGCAGCTTCTTAGCATCTTGGTGTCGGGAAACACAGAATTCACGTCCCATGCCCATGTTGCCCAGGGGTCCCCAGAATTCAGAGGTCCATGTTCTCCCGAGGATCTGCCACTTCATCTTCTTTGTTGCAGAGATCTCTGAGGCTCATTTCCAAGAACCCACATAATCCAAGAAAGAGGAAATCCCAGAGCAATTTGGCTTTGGTTTTTCTGCAATAGATCAAACAAAACATAACAAGCCTCACCTGCCCCTGACTGCCTTTTGCCCTGGGTGTACATATCCATGTGTTTGTGTGTGTGTGTGTGTGTGTGTGTGTATTAAATACATTTTCCTGCTGTTTCTATTCTTTCATTATCATAACAGAAAGATAACAGAGCCTGAATAACACAAGACCCTGGAGACCTGTTAGATTAAAAGCTCATGGAGTGCTTTAACCAGTTTTATAGTTGTTATAACGGTGACGAAAACATTCAGAGAGCTAAACCCACGGATATATATATATGTATGTGTATATATGTATGTATATATGTATGTATATATGTATATATGTATGTATATATGTATATATACATGTATATATATGTGTATATATACATGTATATATATGTATATATGTATGTATATATGTATATATACATGTATATATATGTATGTATATATGTACATGTATATATATGTATATATACATGTATATATATGTATGTATATATGTACATGTATATATACACACATATTATATATAAGCCCTGTGATTTCTCATTTATAAATGAGGCCTATTATTTCTCATTTATAAATGATCCCAATGGTTTTTATCTCATCAGGCTGTTTTGAAGCATAAATAAATAAGCAGATGTTCACATATCCAATACATGCGTAGTATAGACATAATACTACATGTGCAAGATCTGTCAGAGTAGATGAATGTGAATTCAGGTGTAGTTTCTGCTTGGGGTGAAGGAACGTTGGGAGGCTATACTGTTTCATGGGAAAAAACACAGGCAATGTTGTCACATCAACCTGGATTAAAACCATTACTTTATCACATACTAGTAAGCTTCTTAATCTATCTGGAACCCCTATGTATAAAATAAACTGAATACCTACTTAACAGAGTTGTTGTCGTGTAAAATGCTTGAATGCCCAGCAATTGAAGCAGATTGGCATAGAGGGGCAGGGCCTGGGCAGAACAAGCATGTGAAGACCTCCTTCTGTGCCCCTTCAGCTCCTTGTCTCACCATAAACCTCAGAAATGCAATGATGCTACCAAGAAAGCGTGCAGCAGCCACCACGAAAAGCTTTGATTTCCTCCTCTTTCTATTGCTCCTTCTCTCTCCTTGGGACTCACGCTAAGAACTTGAACTGTATGATTTCATATCACTTAAGGAAAAAAAAGGAATATTAGGGAGTTCAAGGGGCAGCCACTTGGCAAACATGAAAGCTTGCTTCGGAACATCTTTATAAGCCCCATTTTCATCCAGGTGCTCCTGAGAGCTGCCCCCTGCAGAGCTAACAGAGGCTTCAAGTCCACGCTGCTCATATCCCTTGGCAGCAATTAGAGAAACTGCCCTTCAACATGGGCTTTATTTTATCCTGTGATTGCTAGGGAGAGCTACAAACAGCATCCAGCAGGCAGCGATAGCATTACCTGTTATCATTGTCATTTTCTATTTCATTTATGTTCAACCGCCTTAAATACCGGAAAAGCAGTTTTACTTAAAAGGCTTGGCCCTGCACTTCCAGGTTTATCAGAATAAAGCAGAAACCAAGCTGGAGAGTTTTAAGGGCACAGGAAAAAAAATTAACACCGTTTGGAGACAGGAGGCTTTGAATTATAGTGGGCAAAGATAGCTGGGTTCTGCTTAAGACTTTAAGCATCCAAATAGGTGCATTTAAAATAAATGCCCCCACAGACTTCATCTGAACCCTCATGCCTTTTGTGATCAACATAAAGCAAGCCTCTCAGCAGTAGCTCTCATAAATTCCAAGGATTAATCCACACAGATTGCATTTGGGATACAACAGCAGGTTCGGATGAAGAGCGGGTAGTTTTGTCTGAATGCTTTTCGCTCAGTTAGTAGCAGGACAGCTATCTGTTTTTTGAGACTTAAATTTGGAAATAACTGTCATTTATTGGGTACTTTAATGGGCTAGGTGAGGCCTGTTCAAGGACTTTAGATGGAATTTCATTTAACTCGTACAAAATCTTGTAAGTAGCATTAAAGACGAAGAAATCAAGACTCAGAGAGATAATTAACTTGCTGAAAATCAAATTGCTGGTAAGTAATGGAGAGCCAAAATTTAGGTAAGAAGGGATATCAGAGTCAAGGTGACAGCAGATGTATCTTACTCAAAAACATCATTCCTCTTCCACCAGGCCATACCTTTGACATATGCAAAATAAATATTGCCAAATCTAAGATGCCATCAGTTGTGAGATGCTCTGTCATGTATCATAAAGAAAAGACAAAAAAACTTGTCAATTAAACTGATTCCAAGACACATTCTAATTTCAGATGTAAAATGTGAGGAAAAAAGTGTTTTTAAAGAGCCGTGAAAAAATGGTAATTAAAAAACTAGGCTTAAATGTAAACAACAAAAATGGTAATTAAAAACTAGGCTTAAATGTAAACAACAAAAATGGTAAGTAGAAAACTAGGCTTACATGTAAACAAAAAAATGGTAATTAAAAAAACTAGGCTTAAACGTAAACAGTAAAGAAGTAATACGCAGGCCTAGCTGGAGGGCAGATTGATGATACACAAGGCACATTCTTGTTACCTCTGCTTTCTCCGAAGCTGAGAATAAAATCCAGATTCAATCATTGCCGTTTCTGTATTCTACCTGCAGGGGGCAGTGCAGGCTACTGTATGTGGCCTTTGGCCTCACTGGGAAAGGGTTTCAGAGGATCAGGGGCAGTTGGAGAAATTTTTTTCACTTCTTTTATTTGTATTTGCTGTTTCTGAACTGATTTGAATCACAGTGTCATTTCTGTTGCGCTTTCCTTCTCCTTCTTCTCCTCTCTGATGTCTTCTCTCTCCGCATTTACTCTTTTTCTCCCAAGATTCCCAAAGTCTGAAACAGCTCTACTTGCAGTGAAAAGAAATGCGTCCCCCTTTTCCTTGCACTTCTAATCAGACGTTGACGGATTAGCTAAAGGCGGGGGGAAGCTGGTGTCCTGATTATTCTATGTGCCCATTTATCTGGAGAATGTTTCTCAGGTAGATCTTCCTACCTCTTGATGTACTTGATGAAATCTATTTCTATCACTTTCCTCCTAAAACCCTCAAATACCCCGTCAAATCCCATAGGATAAGTCTAAGCATGGAAATCTATCTTAGCCTGTTTCTCCTACCCTGTTCTGCACCACTACACCAGGCTGCAGCCCGTGAACACATACTGTGTCCATTCCCAACTCCGGGCCTTCACTTATGGCTGCCTTCTCTCTGAAATGTCCTTCCCCTATTCTCTGCTCATAAAACATCATGCTCACTCATCCCTCAAAACTCAGTTCAAGTTCCTTAGTGAAACCTTCTCTCACTTGAACTTCACAGCCTTCCACATACATCCCAACCATCTTAGCAGCCTTCTGTGCACAAGCTCATTGGCAGGCTGTCACTCTAGCAGCTATCAATGTGGCAATCTTCCTCTTTCGTTCTTATTTATATCTGTTTTCCCATTACATAGCACAGGGCTGGAATGATGGTAGGTACTCAATTCATATTTATTAAATTCATAATCGAATGGCTCTTTTCTAAAATACACTACTTCTGATATATCCTAGGTAAGTTATCTTTAACTTGTACACATTTAGGTCACCCGGAAAGCTCTTGAAACTCCTCATAAACAGACCCCACCCCAGACCAATGAAACCAGAACTTCTGTGGATGTAGCCCAGGCATGAGCATCTTTGAAAGTTCTCCAGCTTTCAAGACGCAACCAAGGCTTAGAATTACTGCCATTGCAGTGATTTACAAAATGTGGTCCCAAGGCCAGCCATATCAACCTTTTATGGTAAAGGCAAATTTTTAGGACTCACCCAAAACCATAAATGCAGAAATGGCTGGGGAGTTTGGGAGTGGTGGCTGGGGGGCGGGGGGGGGGGCAGGGTAGCAATCTGTATTTTAAGAGACCATTTATTTAGTCAACGCATACTACAGTGTAAGAACCACTGCCTCGTCCTGGCGTGGCTCACGCCTGTAATCCCGTTGTGTCCGGAGTTGGTTCCTCCATGCCTGTAATCCCAGTGTGTCCGGATTTGGTTCCTTCCAGTAGGTTCGTGGTCTTACTGACTTCAAGAATGAAACCGCGAACCTTGCTGGTGAGTGTTACAGCTCTTCAACGTGGCAGGGACCCAAAGAGTGAGCAGCAGTAAGATTTATTATGAAGAGTGAAAGAATAAAGCTTCCCCAGCAAGGAAGAGGACCCTACCACGTTGCCGCTGCTGGTTGGGGTGGCCAGCTTTTATTCCCTTATTTGTCCTCCCCCCATGTCCTGCTGATTGGTCCATTTTACAGAGCGCTGATTGGTCCATTTTACAAAGTGCCAATTGGTCCATTTTACAAACCTCTAGCTAGCTACAGAGTGCTGGTTGGTGCATTTTTGCAGAGCACTGATTGGTGAATTTATAAACCTCTTGTAAGACAGAAAAGTTCCCCAAGTCCCCACTGGATCCAGGAGGTCCAGCTGTCTTCGCCTTTCAGTAGGACTTTGGGAGGTTGAGGTGGGCGCATCCCCTGAGGTCAGGAGTTCGAGACCAGCCTGGCCAACATAGTGAAACCCCGTCTCTACTAAAAATACAAAAATTAGCTGGTGTGGTGGGACGTGCCTGTTATCCCAACTACTCGGGAGGCTGAGGCAGGAGAATTGCTTGAACCCAGGAGGTGGAGGTTGCAGTGAGCCAAGATAGTGCCACTGCACTCCAGCCTGGGCAACAGAGCGATACCCCGTCTCACACCCACACAAAAATACTAAAATAAAAAAAAAAACCCACTGCCTCCGAGATTCACTTTAAATAATGTTGCAATGTTTTGTGTGAATGAATCCTTCCTCCACCTTGTTCCGATTTTATTCTGGGCACTATTTCTTCCATATACTTACAAACAAAAAGCAGGCTCATATTAGATTTTTTTTTTAACCCAGTTTGGTCTTGTGATCTACATCAATCCATCTTGTGACCAATATCAATGCAATAGCCCAAAAAGATATTTTACATGTTTATTTCATGCCTTAAAACAACCAGAAATATCATTGTCATGGCTAATTTCCAAATTATGAACTAAAAATTGACAAAAAACGAACATACATTGGACTTTCACTATGTGCCACACACATATTAATACACTTAACATGTATTATGTTAAGTGCTTAATTATCTCACAACTCTAAAAAGTGAGTACATTAGCACATCCATTCTACAGATGAGAAAAGGAAGGCTGGAAAAAGACATGATGAATCCAGGGGGAAGAGCAGGGATTTGAATTCAGATCTGCCCTGACGTCAAGTTCTTCTTTGGGGTTTCATGATTTTCCATTTTGTACTTTGCACATAGTCATGCAGCTGTAGAGTGAAGAAAATCTGTTGCTTTTCAAAGTTCCTGGCTAGTTCCTGAAGAAATGTTATTACTTTGAGCACACTGATATGGTTTGGCTGTGTCCCCACCCAAATCTCATCTTGAATTTTAGCTCCCATAATTCCCACTTGTTGTGGGAGGTGATTGAATAATGGGGGGGGGTGGGTCTTTCCTGTGCTGTTCTCGTGATAGTGAATAAGTCTCACGAGATCTGATGGTTTTATACAGGGGAGTTCCCATGCACATGCTCTCTTTTTTTGCTTGCCACCATGTAAGATCTGACTTTGCTCCTCCTCTACCTTCTCTCATGATTGTGAGGCCTCCCCAGCCATGTGGCACTGACTCCATTAAACCTCCTTCCTTTATAAATTACCCAGTCTCAGGTATGTCTTTATTAGCAGTGTGAGAACAGGCTAATACACACATTAAATAATTATGCTGTTTCCTGCTCATTTGGAGTGGTATACACATAAGGGCTTTCTCTCTTTTTTTTTCCCCCAAGGCTTTAAAAAGGGGTATGATTTCAACACTCACAGGATTGGAGAGGAAGTTTTATTCGAAGACGGTAAAACTCTTAAACTCACAGCCTTGGTTCTAAACCTATGGTCTGAATTCTTAGAGTCATTATTCACGTTGTCATTCTGAGTCTATGAATATTACTAAAGTTTTACCAGGCCCTGTGCTAGGCTTTGGGAGGCAGAGCGGTGAAAGAGATAGGTAAGGCCTCTGCTTTCCTCTTAATCAAGCCAGGGCCCCTGCTTGCTCGCCATCAAGAAGAACCATATCTACAATACATAAATCAGTGCAGTAGCTAAGTTTAGATGTTATGATTGCATTACCAAAGGCAATAAGACAGGAGGTGGCCAGCGCAGGCCTCCATGAACTAAACTGTATCGTGTGTGTGTGTGTGTGTGTGTGTGTGTGTGCGCGCGCGCGTGTGCGTGTGTGTGTGTACACGTTTCCTCTTAAGGGTACTGACAGAAAGATCTTTTTACCTGCGTACCTCTGTTAATAACTAGTTCTAAACTATGTTGGAGAATGGGTATGGATTCTACAACCAGATTAAATAGATATGGCCTATCTGACAAAGCAAACCTGAGATTCTATTTTCAAAACAGTACACCTCAATCATAAAATCTCTAATGCCAGCACCACCTGTAGCTCGCTGAGCCCCAGCTGAAGGAGAAGGGGATAAGTAAGGAGGTTTTTAAGACCGTGGCTGGTACAAAGCCGACTGCCCACAGATCAACCAGTGGCAAAGCCCCCAGGAAGCAACCGGCTGTGGAAGCTGCTTGCAGTAGTGCGCCCTCTCCTGGAAGGGTGAAGAAAACTCATAATTACAGGCCTGGTTACTGTGACACTCCATGATATCAGACCTTATCAGAAGTCCTCCAAACTTCTGATTTGCAAACTTTCCTT